>NC_000004.12:134375926-134678956 GCF_000001405.40 Homo sapiens
ATTGGGTTACAATAATAACTCTTTTCCTTTATTTATAGAATGTGTTCATTCAATTGCTATTGCATTAAACTTCTAAAGCATGAACCCAATAAGAAACAGTATGGCTTATTAATTTTAATTCAGTCCCTTTCACTTTTTGATGAATAATACAACTTCTTGTCTACTCTAATTCACATAAAACAGAATCTAAAAATATTACAACAGTGAAGTTTAATTCTGCTATTTAATCAGATTTTTTCTTAATTTATACTTCCCCTTCATTTATATTTCTTTGTTCATTTATCTTTCTAATACTGATGAATGGAGTTTTAAAAAGTATTCCAAAATTGGTGCTTCAATCAAAACCTGTGCTTCTTTCAGCTAATGCTTCACACATACTACTTTCCAAACTAGCTGCCTTTTGCTTCAACTGTCACATTTTAAAATAATTAAGACACTTGCCATCCACTGGCTATTGAAGTTCATGAATTAATTGACCTGAATGTTTTGGATTTCTTTGATCTAAGCTATTTTCTCTATAATACTGTGATTTACCTGACATTAAAGGGCAAACTAAGCAATGAGTTTCTGAACTACATTCACACAATACAGCAGCAGTATTCCAATAAGTGGCATTAATTGCAATTAGGATATTTACATGGAAGCAGGATGCAAATATAACATTTTTGGGATACATCAAATGCCAGAAATTATTATTAAAATTAGACCAATGGAAGATATAATCATTTGGTTCTATTCTGCAAATGTAGTTCAACACCCACTATATCCAGGCATTTTGGAGGAAATCAGTAAAATGCCTGTGAGTCTAATTGAAGAAAATGAAAATGAGTATGGTCTGAATGTAGCCCCTCCTACTCCTTTTATTATGGCGAGAGAAAGTTTTCTCTTTTAATATTCACCTTTTCACTTTAAAATTAAAAGGCCAAAAAAAAAAAGGCAAATAATTGAGAATAAGAATTAATACAGGTTAAGGTAACTGAATTTTTGCAATCATAATTTCAGCCTAGGTAGATAAATGTAGAAAACATAATTCCAATTATTTGTCTTTATGATTAAGAAAAATTTGATGCAAATATACATTTGTAACTGAGGACACTCACTACCCCACCCTTCTAGCTTTATATATCTTTTTTATATACTCACTGGCTTACTTGCACAATGATTTTATCTTCCTACAGAATTTGAAGGCAGAGGCATTCATTATTATAAACTTTGCACGAGAACACAGAGAAAGCATTGAATCCGTTTGTTAATTCCCATTGTATATTTTCTTGCAATATTTAGCTCTTTTATATTTCCTCTTCACTTGCATTATGATTCACATTCCAAACTGATCATTACCTCCTAAACTGTATCATACACATCTTTCTAAAATTCTGCCTTCTTAATAGAAGGGCCCTTTTAAAAACCTCTAATTATGAGAATCATACAATAGTATTACAATAATAGAGGAGGAAGAGAAAATAATTTCAAGGAAAATAAATCCAAATTTTTGTTCAGTAAACAACTTAGACTGACCCAAGCATGAGACATAATGAGCTAATGGTGAGGGAGGGGGCAAAAAAGTGGGACCACATGTCAGACACTTGACCCTAGGAAAACCAATCAAAGTCTTTTTACATGGATTAATATGGAATGCATCAAAAATTATCTTTCTTTCTGAGATCATAAGCTTGAACATTATGTAAAATTTCTGATGCTAGAGGCTATCTTTCCAACCTTAATATAAAAATCGCACAGAAGTGTTCCAATGTAGAGGACAGCAGAACTGATGAACAAGGAAAGACAAATTCATCAGTTCATTGTTTCAAAACCTAGATGTACCTGTGCTTGAACCCCTGAACTTTTTAATGAAGAAAAGCCAATAATTTTGTAATTGATGTTATGTTAGTTACATTTGATTGGATTTCTGTCCTTTGCAAAAGAAGATATCTTGGCAAAAAGTTGAATGGAAGTGGGACAGGTACAGAAAGTTAGGTCATTTGTGACCCACAGAATGATCTAGACCTAGCTGACAATAATACTGCTTGTGATTAGTACAAAGAAGACAAAGGCAACCAAGATCTGCAGCTTGTCTGAGCTACTACATACTAGATCTCAGAGCAGATAAATGTTAAACCTCATAAGACGTAGGATAAGAACAGTGGATACACACTTTTCCTCTGTTGAGATTTGCACAGTAGGTGTACCGAAGTGAAAGACTTCATGGTTTCCACCATGTAAGAGACTGTCAATTTCCAGTTCCATGGGAGTCACCTTATTCAATTGGGCATGCTTTTGATTACTCATCATGGTGGTACTTATTTCTCCACACATTATCACATGCATTTTTAAAACCCATAGCACCCTTTTTTCTTCCCACTTGCTTAGCAGAACTCTAAGTATTTTTCTAAGTGTTCATTTCAAGTCCTACTTGAGTTAAGCTAGACTTTATCACAAATAATAAAGCTTACAATGATAATTATTTTATCATCAAATATTTGCTTCATAATTACAATAATAACTAAAACTTCCAAAGTACTTATCATGGATCAGATATTGTACTAAGTATTTTACATTTCTTAACTCATTTAAAATTTACAACTGTCTTAAAAGGAAAAAAAAACTTTATAATCAGCACCACAATATTTAATACTTAAGGAAAAAAGCCTACTAAAGTGTAGTAGTTATATTCTGTAGTCACACAGTGAGCTTCTAATGAAAAATGTAGGTAAATTGTCGTTTTTCTTTTAATTTCAAAGTAACACAATATTGGACATATAAGTGATATTAAACCACATTTTCAATAGATTATACCTTGATCCAAGAAAAAGAAAAAGGTGTCTGGGATTGCTTCACCAAGAATATCAGTTTCCTGTTCTGCCATAACAAACTATCATAAATTAAACAGCTTAAAAACAATATGAATGCATTATCTTATCATTTATTTAGGTCAGATGTCCAGGTACAGTGTGCCTCAGCTGAGTCCCATGCTTAGAGTCTCACAAGGCAAAACTTAAGGTATCAGCTGGCCTCTTCCTTTCTGAAGGTATGGGGATGAATGGTTTTACCAGCTAACTCAAGCTGTTGGCCGAATCTAGTGTATGTAGGATAGAAATCTAGGGGTCACCATCTTCTTGCTGGCTGTCATTTGGAACCACCCTTAACCCCTACAGGCTTGCCTCTCATCCTTGAAAATAGGACCCCACATCTGAGAGCCAATAATGGAGGATTAAATTGTTCTCATTCTTAGAATCTGTACTTTCTCTGCTCCATCTCTTCTGTCTCCTGTCAGAAAAAGTGCTCTAATTTTAAAGGCTTACATAATTAGATTGCAGCCACCAAGGTAATTCAGGAAAATCTCCCTATTTTAAGGTCTATAACAAAAATTACCTCTGCAAAGTCCCTTTTGCCATGTAATGTAATATATTCATAGTTTTAATTCACGGATTAAAGCATGGGCATTTTTGAGAGACCATTCTGCCTACTGCACCAGGTAATCATTTTTTTTTTCTTTAACTCATACATTGCTAATATAATTTTTTTTTGAATGAGCATTGGAGTTTATGTCCAAAACAACTATAATACTACAGAGTACATGAGAGTAAAAGTAACTATTGGCAAGGAATACATACAATGCCTCTGCTATGGCTTCAGCTTTTAAAAAGTTATGTCTGAAAAAAGCCATGCCATTCCAACTAAAAAAAAAAAACTTGCTAAGGTTATGAAAATACTCTTTGTGAAGGAGTAATTCCAAGTTGTTAAGGGTGTTGTATGAAATATTTTGAGAGATCTTTCTCTCAAAGTAAAAACATACTGAATTAACTATTTTATAATTAGAGTTCAGTTATTTTAACAAACATTTACTAAACACCCTAACCGATTGTAGTGAAGAAGAGAAAAATCAACATTTATAGACATTACTCTCAATGAACTTACAATTTAATTATAATATAGTGGTTATAGAGGAAGACAAACAAACCCATTAGTGACTTCATAGCAAAAAGAAGATTAAATATTTACTTTATGTCCTTTAAATTTCTCTAGTCTTTCCTTTTCCTCTTTAGGAGGCATTTATTAATATTATCCTCGCTTCTGTTAAAAATAAAATTTCACTTTTGACCACTGCTATGTAAAATTAACACCATAGGATCACAGAATTGACAGTGATATTAGATCTTGCAGGCCCAACCTCCTCAATTTATAAGGCATAACTGAACACTTTTCCTGCTTGTAAGCTCATTAAAGAACATGTGCTTAAGAACAAAAGATTTGCCCAACCCAGTCAGATTCAAGAGCTATGTAACACAGTATTAGATCTCCGAACAGGTGGGTTTAAAAGAACATGGTTGCTCTTCACAATTTCTATTTCAAAATACGAGTCATGCCTATGTTCTATGTTCCCTTACCTATTCGTTAAATTTCAAAATTTCAAAACTTTTAAAGAAATTGGGGAAACAGTTCTTCTTTAATGAATGACTTTCTGCACATTTCATAAAATGTTTAGCTACCCTAGGCTTCACCCAATAAATGCCACTAATTGGAGTGACAAATTTCCTCTTTGCCTCATCCGAAAAATCAGAGAAAAACCTGTATTTTTTCTAAGTCTCCACAGGTGGGTGGGTACTAATAATATTAACTAAGTATGATGGAAAAGACATGAGTTTCTACTTTACTATTAATGATTTAGAATATTTTGTGTGAATGAAATACAAATCTAACTGGGAAATTCCAATGTTCATTTAAATATGTCACAAAAGACATAATATAATAAATAAGCATTAAAGACAGAACATGTGACTATTACTGTGAATTCAGATTTTAACCTGGGCAAAACACAGTGTTTAAAGTTGCAGTGTCACTCTACAACAATAATTCCCCACTCACAAAAGATACTTCAAGAATGAAACTTACGGAACCCTAAATATTGTGATATTCTTCTTTATTTCCTCATTTCATATAAATTCACAATGAGGAAAGAGCAGAAGTTTCTAGAAATAATATAATTAAATTTTTCTTTTAAGGCAAGTACATATAATTTTTAGTTTTATGGCTTTTATTCACATCAAATAGGTGCTTGCTGACTTGACAGATAATTATAACAGCAGTGTATTCACAACACATGATTTTATGAATAAGGATTAAAGATGAGAATAGAATTAATCACAAGGATGCCTTTCTATTGAGCCACCAAAATGATGTCCTAGGGCAAATGAAATCCTGGAAAATGGATTGATTACAGGGCCTAGCCCAGACATCAAGTTAGCAAGTGGGAGATTTTTGTTTCATTATGTTTTGTTTTGTTTTTCTCTCAGCTTCAAGACTGAAAGTTTGTTGGGGTATGGAGCCAGCCAGGTTATTTTGTTACCCATTTGTTTTTACAACTGTTTTATCATTGGATTTCCATGCATGTACACGTGCACACACACATGTGTGCATGTGTGTAGTTGTGTTATTTAAGGTTTTCTCTTTTTTTGAGGCATAATCTCACTCTGTCTCCCAGGCTGGAGTGCAATGGTGCGATCTTGGCTCACTGCAACTGCCACCATCTGAGTTCAAACAATTCTCCTGCTCACCCCTTCAAGTAGCTGAGATTACAGGCACCCACCACCAAGACCAGCTAATTTTTGAATTTTTAGTAGAGATGGGGTTTGGCCAGGCTGGTCTCAAACTCCTGACCTCAGGTGATCCACCCACCTCTGCCTCCCAAAGTGCTGGGATTATAGGTGGGAGCCACTGCGCCCGGCCTTAAGGTCCTTTTTGTTTTGTTATTAAGATTTAAACCTGCAGCTTGAAGATTATTTTTCCTAGGTCTACTTTCTCAGTCATCTGTTAACAAAACAACATCTAGGAATACCAACTTCTTAACACATACATAGCTATTTTTGTTAGTATTTTTTGCAAATTCCAATGCATTGTTTGCTTTGTCCTTCTTATCCTTATTCTTTGAAGTTCGTGTAAATATCTGTATGTCTTTTCATTTGTCCATGTTTATGAATATTTTCTTTTGTAAGTCTCTTTTAAAAATCCATGCTCATCTAAAAACCCCTCTTTTGTTTCTCATCGGCTACGTTGTCAAGATTAATTTTTAAAAAATCTTTCATACCCCTTTAGTCATAGAAAAAAACTTTCACTTTTGGCTTAATCCCATCCAATACAAAAATAATTGATGAGCAACAGGGAAGCTATAAGATTTTTAGTGTTTGAATGAAGCTTTGACATTAGTTGAATCTGTAGATTTTACACATGAGAAGACAAAAGTTTAGAGAGGTTAAGTGCCTGGCATAAAATCACATAGGTAGCCTGTGGATTTTTATGCTCAGCTATTTTGATTCAACAGTTAGTGTTATTTCTGACCAAAACAATGTTATGTTTGTATCTCTATCAGGATTAGAAGGAAATATTAGAGATAGTCAGAATTTAGAAAATCATATTTTACAAACTTAAGAAAACATATATAAATAGAAAGATTGCTTGTCTGCAAATAAGATAAAAGCAAGTATGTTTTACCACCAGGTTGTCATAGAAGGCTAAAAATATTTTATAAAATGGAGGATGTGGTTGAGTGTTACCAGATTGGAAAAAGAAGAAAAATAACATGTTTTGGAAAGTCAATTGAAAACAATTTTGAAGATCTATTACATAATTGATTCCATAAAACCTGGGTGCCATCCTATGTAGACAAGGTTTGACATAATTTTCCAGACTGGGATTGTGTCTTTAAAGCACTTAAGCTGAACTAGACAATTTCATACACTTATGTTGTTGATAAAATGAAATTCCCATTTGCTTCTCATTACCTCTGACATGAGCATATGCAGTTACAGGATGTCTATTGTAATTATGATTAGAGCTTAAAAAACAAACAAGAAAAATTACCATACTAGCTAGAAAATGCTGGGAAACCACATGCCACAAACTTTGAGATGTTTATGATTAAAAAAAAAAATCACATTGTAAGCTCCATGCAAAAACCTGTGTTTGAAACAAAAGTCTAAAATGTAAGATCTAGACCCCTCTTGAGAAGTCCACTTAAGCAGGTCATAAAGTGGTTTTAGAACATACATGTATTTCAATATGATATTTAAGAATCTCATCAGAGCTCAAAGGCTACTCAAAATGGTGAAGCCAGGAGAAATTTGCCCCAAGCTTAGTGTTCACTTGAGTAGCTACACAAGAATGAATTGGAGCACAGCTGTATGTCATTTTGAATTAGGACAACTGAGAAAGGCAAATGACTATCATTGTTTCACTATTATAATTGGTAGATGCTATTGACACAATGATAGAGGCATGAGGCTGAGAAATTCTAGGCAGAAAAGGGTAGATCCCCAGCGAAACTCCACCCCCAAACCTAAAAGCCTGAAACCGTGGCCCAAAGTGAGAACTTCTATTCCGGTTTTCCTGCTTGAATGTTGCCTTTTTCTAAACACCTATGCCCACTCCACCCCATCCTGCGCCTATAAAGACCCCAGACTCAGCCATCAGAGAGAAGAAGCAGCTGGACAACAGGTCGACTACAGCTGGACGATGGAGAGAAGCAGGTTGACTTCAGAGGGACAGTTTAACGGCATAACTTCGGAGAAGAATCCAGCCAGAAACAGCCGAACTTCAGGGTAAGATTATCTACCCCCATATCCCCTTTTCAGCTCTCTTTCCCTCTGAGAGCCACTTTAATCAGCAATAAAATCCCTCACACTTACCATCCTTCAATTTGTTCGTGCAAATTCATTTTGCCTGAATGTTGGACAGGAGATCGGGAGCCATGAGTGAGGATACAAAGGGCTGTCACATCTGGATGCAGTGATTCACACCTGTAATCCCAGCACTTTGGGAGGCTGAGGCGGGTGGATCACCTGAGGTCAGGAGATCAAGACTGGCCTGGCCAACATGGTGAAACCCTGTCTCTACTTAAAATACAAAACAATTAGCTGGACATGGTGGCACGTGACTGTGATCCCAGCTACTTGGGAGGCTGAGGTAAGAGAATCACTTGAACCCAGGTGACAGAGGTTGCAGTGAACCGAGATTGTGCCATTGTGCTCCAGTCTGGGAGACAGAGCAATACTCCATCTCAAAAAAAAATAACAAAAAAGCTGTCACACTGGCCCTTTGCCCTCACTGGCAGATGGCAGCCATGGACCCACTGAGCTATTAACACTTAAGCTTTCTGTAGAAGGCAGAGCTGAAACAACACTGTAACATGCCCTTTGGGACTTCAGAAGTCACCGGCACCCCAACTTGACACTGCCACAGGGACTGCATGGAGTTCACTCCTGCCTATGCCCGAAAGCGCTTGCTGCAGCTCCTGCACCTGCTCCCCTGCCCATTCCCTCTCTGGAGTGGTGGAATGAAGCTGGTCCAAATGAGTGGGGTTTGATCCTGCCAGCACCAAAATGGCTGGCTGGTTCAAGCCCTCATGCACTCCAGTTCCCACCTCATTCACTTGCGCTCTCTCTTCTATGTGGAGTTGAGAGCAGCAGGCTGAGTAAACAAGGCATCCCTGTCATGAGTCCACGATCTAGTCAGGGAGATATCCTGCTTCACTATTAAACAAAAAGATGTAAAACATGAGGCACCGACGGATTTCAGCTCTGACTTTTTCCCTGATCATCTACAGGTTAATGGATATCTGAATTAACAATGTATAACCTAGTAAATACAATTATTTTTAGTCTCTTTGACTGAAATGAAGTATTGGAATAAGGATCCAAAAATCTCTGCATGTATTTCAGATCTGCATACTGAACTATTTATAGATGGGTGGAGACTATTTACTAACTCTATCTAAAACATATATGTATATAATACTTCAGATGACAAGGCCATTGAGAATTCTCTGAATATATTTTTAAAAGGTAAAATAACAGAAGAAAGCTGCTATGACCAACATAAAGACTATGTCTTCAGGTCAATAGCGTTCACACAATGCAAGAAAAATATAATTAAGACATTTATAAAATTATCCATTCATGTACTGATTCATTCAACAAGTATCTTAGATGCTGAAAATATATCAATTAACAAATAGATTAAATTCCCTACACTTCTGGGGCTTAAATTCCAGTGAAAGTAAGCATGATATATTGGTAAACTATACATTAGAAGGTAACAAATGCTAACTAGAAAAATAAAACAAGTTTAAAAATGTTCTGAAAGGGGAGAAGGTTGGTTTACACTTTTAACTAAAATGGTCAAGAATGATATCCTTAAGAATGCAGTATTGAGGCTAAGGCAGAATGTTGTGATGGAGAGGCCCTATAATATACAAGGAAAAGCATTCCATAGGTAAACATACTTTGGGTTCCATTTAAAAATATGTAATCATATTTTAAAGAGGAATTTTAAAGTTAAGGAAAGATACAAAAATCTTAGATAAATCCAGGCAGAAAAACTGAGTACATAACAAAGAGTAATTCAAAATATCAGATGTTCCCTTCTCAAATCCAAACAACAGAAAGTGACAGAACAATACTGGCAGAGTCTAGAGGACGTTTGAGTGCAAAATTCTGACTGAGCCAAGTGGGTCACTCATGTTTGACAATACCTGAAAGTCATTTTTGCTCATGCTTGAATTCAGGAATTATATTTAAATATATTTTTTAAAAATACCAAATATATACTGAAGAAAATAGATTGAAAATTGATTCTTATGAGAGAGCTAAAGAATAGAAAAAGTATTAAGAAAAAAAGAAAAGATTATGGGAAATAAAACATTGAAATTATGCTTTTATAAATAAATAGTTATTGTGAATATAGTTATATAATGATACAAGATCAAAATGATTTTCAAAAGCAAGAAGAGTTCATTTATCGTTTCTCTTAGTTTTATGTTGACACTTATTCAAGGGTAATGTTTCCTTATGTTTTTGATTATCACTGTCTGTTAGACTTTATGCTTAGAATAAAATACTTTTGGAAATAATTAAATGATTGTTTTAATAATATCTTCCTTCAGATAGTTTCGTTTGGTGCAATATGTTGTTACCATTCTTTGCTCCCTTAAGCCAAATATAATGTTTGAGAGTTCCTGAGCCACTCACATAACTTAATGACAAGAAGGCAGGATGCAAATCCTTGAATGGGCTACTTGATTTGTCTTTGCACTGATATCCCATGAAGACACACACACATATAAACACACTATATATACACATATATATGTATATCTGTGTGTATGTATATATATGTATACATATACGTGTACTTTATGTATGTATATAGTGTGTGTATATATATATTATATAGTGTATACAAATATATATAAACTGTATATAGTGTGTGTTTTATATATATATATATAAAATATATATATGAGACCAATAATTCATGATTGGTTGCCAATATATATATTGGAGTATAATGATACATATATATCTGTATGTACATGTATATATATGTATGTATTCACATAATATATATATACATCGGTACATATATGCATACATATATATTGCGTATATATACATAATATGTGTATATTTACATAATATGTGTATATTTACATACATGGATATATTGCATGTTTATATATACACACATATACACACTTTATATATACAAAACTATATATACATACATAGGTATACATACATAGATATATGTATATATGCATGTACATAGACAATATATACACACAATTCATATATAGTGTGTGTATATATGTATACACACAATATATAAATATATACATATTATGTATATACATATTATATGTGTGTATATATATACACACACATAGATATATGTATATATGTGTGTATGTATACAATACTCCAATTCTTACTTCAAAGATTACTACATATGATACAGACAGGAGACAGGAAAATACTGCATAGAAGAGGGCGATTCCCCAGCAAAGGTCCCACCCTCAAGCTTAGAAACCCATGACCCTCAGTGAGAACAGGCATTATTGTTTTCATGCCCAAAAAGTTGCCTTTTGTCCCACCATGTCCCCCTGTCCTGAACCCATATAAGCATCAAACCCCAGGCTCCAGAAAGAGATGAGCAGACAAATGGGAGAACAATGTGGCAGAGAAGGAGAGAAGAGGAGCATCTGAATGCTGAGGAGAGTTTTGCTGGGGACGATCAAAGAGGAGATTGGCCACTGTACGGCCAAATTCCAAGAGAAGATCATCTTTTCACTCCATCCCTTTTCCAGCTCCCCATCCATCCCACTGAGAGCAACCTCCACCACTTAATAAAACCCCTGCATTCACTCTTCAAGTCCATGTGTGACCTGATTCTTCCTGGACTCTGGACAAAAATGTGGGTGCCAAGAGGGCACTGAGCTGGTTAATACTTAAGCCATCTGCAGGTGGCAAAGCTAAATGAGCACACTGTAACATCTGCTTGGGCTTTGGCATTCACAGATACCCACTCCTAGACACTACCATGGGGCCAGAGCCCAAAGCACTTGCCCCGTCACCTGCAGCTTCCTGTCTGCATGCTCCCCATCTTGTAAGGGGTTTGAGCTCACATTAACCAGAGAGCCACACACCTGTCATATGTCCTGTAATGTGGGGCCAGGGAATTCTCTCATTTCACAAATATCTATGTGCGTATATATACAATTTATTTTATATATATATATATATATATACACACACACATATAGATATTTGTGAAATGGGAGAATAAATATATACAATTTATTATATATATACACACACACATATATACACACACACATAGATATATGTAGTATTCTATTGCTTCTGTAACAAATTATGACAAACTCAGTGGATTAAAATGATACAAATTTATTATCATACATTTCTTCAGGTCAGAAATCTAAAATGAGTCTTCAAGGATATGCTTTACCTGAAGGCTATAGAAGAAAATACATTTTGTTGCATTTATTAGCTTCTAGAGGCCACCTGCATCTCTTGGTGTATGGCCTCTCTTCCATCTTCAAAGCCAGCAGCATAACATCTTTAAAACTCTGTTCAACTCTGCATTCCTTATACCTTCTCTGATTACCTCTCCCTTATATAAGGACTCTTGTGATTGCCATGAGTCCAGATAATCCAAAAAAGCCAGGATAATCAAGATCTTTAAATTATTTACATCCACAAAGGTTTTGGCCATGTAAAGTAACACACTCACAAGTTATAGGGATGAGGACATGGACATTTCAGGGATACTATGCAATGTAACAGATGAATAGAGAGAGAGAAAAAGACTGACAGAATAGAGAGAGAATATGTATATACCAGAACAGACAGAGAATACATACACACCAAGGCATCCTGGTTACAGTACAAAAGTTTATCACTGAAGTTATTTTTTCTCTCCATTCACCTATAGGCCATTTGATAGTTTAAAAATTAATAAAGTGAATATTAAGTTCTGTTATGGTGGGAAAAACTGCTGTTAAAGAATGCATATGAACAATTACCTAATGAGAATGAACAATTAGCTATTCCGTATATAATGCAACAGTTTTACAGATTTCTGTTCTTGGAGTTCATTAATATAGATACATACTGTTAGAGCAGAGGGAAAGACGTGAAGGAAGACCAAATGAGAGAGCCGCTCAATGGTTGAGACAGGTTTTTTGAGAGTAAACCTGAGAAGGGCTTCTGGCCGGCAGGGTCAGGAGCAAACCTCTCTTACAGCCTGAAGCTTTTAAAAAGGGCCTGGTAGGGGAAGTGTATTCTGAGAGAAGTTCCTAATGGGGAGGAGTTAGGGGAGTGCTGGCTGGTTGGGACTGCTAGAGACTTTGATAAGCTTGGTTGGGATTGTTATGCTCTGTTGAAGATACAGGTGGGGCTGACTTTTGCATTTTGGTCAAATACCAACGGACAGTTTTGAGAAATGGAAACTTGATATTCAAGGTGGTGGAGTCTCATTAAGATGGCAGTATTATTGTCCTATCACATACAATACTCCAACTTTTACCTTCAAAGAAAGTAAAAACAGAACTATAAAATAAAAATCACTAAGAGCTTAGACAATCATTTCTCTGAGAGAGAAGATATAAATTTTTTAGAAAGGATTTTAGGCTTTCTTAGCTTTTAGAAACTTCCAAATTCCTTGCCAGCATGCAGAAAGTGCTCTTTGAGCAATTTTAACTTTTTTAGGTGCTTTTATTAAAGGGAAATTTGGGGAGATTTTTACCTGCAGGGACTACATGACTATATACTGTAATACAAAATACCACTATGTGTCTTAGCTTTTCACCATGGTATTCACAAGGCTCTTTAATTGAGTAGCATTCTAAAATAACTTTAAGCAGGATGAGATATTTAAATATATACAAAAAATTGCTGTTTTGGAATGCTTTCAAAAGCAACTAACTCTAATTACCAACATTGGCAAAGTAAATACTACCTATTATCATGAAGGTGACCTGTAAAAGGAAACAAGTTCTAAGACAAATAATGCTATAACACAAAGGAGAAGCAGACTGGAGGGCAAAGGAAGATGTGGTTTTAGTTTGACATCCTCAAAGACATGTAGAGAATTACAGGCATCATCAGGATTGGTAGTGATCTTACAGATCAATTTTTTGAATAACAATTACAGACATCATGAGCTAGAACCTGAGAGCTGGAAAGCTCTCTTTGGCCACATGTAGTGAAGTGTGGAAAGGGGATATTATAGCAATAGCCTGCATAATGGTGAACAACACTGCTGCATCTTGTACATATCATGAGCCAAAGGTAGTCATAAACAGAGATTGGGGGTAGAGATGCCAGAGGAAAAATAAAAAAATTTTTATTAAAATGTTTAATAACAACTTAAATTAAAAAAATTTAAAATTTTTAATAAAAATCTTTTTATTAAAAATGCAAAATGATCAAACATCAAGTGTGCAATTATGGGCATAATTGGGGGATGGCAGAAGATTAGATAATAGCAGTTAGAAATGAATAAATGCGTACATGTAGATTTTTCTTTGTATATGGGAAAACAAATCTTATATTTCTTTTTTGCTTTCTGTAGAACACAGAAGAGAAAAAAGCCCAAGGGCAGGCAGAATAAATGAGAAAAATGAAATGACAGAAAGAATTAAGTCTCAAGTGGCTTGGCTAAGCAAATTTAAATGTCTTGCTGAGTTCTTAAAGGAAAAAAATAGATTCAGGTCTTTTCTGTTTGTTTGTTTTCTTCCTTTGGGATTTTGGTTAGTACATGGTATTTATATTCTACTTTTGAGTGTGGTTTTTGTTTGCTTCTTTTATTTGAGTGAATCCTTTTAAGTGCATTTGACAGAGATTTACATTCATATATCCAGTGGGGCACACATGACATTTTTCCGTAGAGCATATTGGCAGAGATGATGAACCTTTTCTTTTTCTTCAGGTTATTTAATGACTACTTGATAGAATTAGATAGTCTTTTCCACATTGTTTGGCACTCACAATATAATAGAGCTAAACATAAAAAGATTTGGAATCAGTCTCTAAGAAAAGTGGCTATCAAACTACATTTTCCAAAGATGTCCCTTATTCATTTTACAGTTTTGTCCTGAATATTTAGCCTAACATTTTGTAGTACTGGTAAGCGAGGACATGATAATAATCTGACTTCTTGGTTGTATGCATATCATCCTGACACCTGATTTTCCTAAGGGGATTCATGATTGCACAAAGCTGCCATGTTATTACAGTCCTTCATGAAAGATTGCTTGAAGTGATGTCACAACATCAGACATCAGCTTTAGTTGACACTGAAACATCACTTCCAGAAAACGGTTGCTTTGGGCATATTTTTACTTTAGCTTTGACAACTCCATATAATCATCTAAATGACATACCTGTGGAAACAACATTAATCAACAGCTTATTCTATGACTCTTCCTATTTAGTAATTATTCATGGCCTGCCTAGTTTTTCACTTTATTTTTCAGAATGCCACATTAAACATTTCTATTGAAAAATGATACACAACATTTCAGTCCCTTACCTTTCATAGAAGAGTAATATAAATGCCTTCATTTTCAAGATCAACACGACTACCATATAAAACAATTTTGAAAGCTTCCTTTATTACTGTAGTTTAATTCAACTGATGTAACAAAAGAAACCAGCACACATGATCAAAAATATGTGCTTGCAAGACCAAATAGAGGATTAAACAGAAAATTTTTAGAGGAGACAAATCAAGTCACAGATAAAGAAGATTAAATTTTTAAAAGTACAGCGTTTACTGATATACTAAGATAACTGCATTTACATTTTTGGTTATTTCTGTAAGACACAAGAATGTCAAGGTAATGCTCACAAATTATTGGTCTCCAAAACTATTTACCTACTTCATGATTGTTGTTTTACAAAAGATATTTTTCAACAACTCTGAAGTGTAATGCTGTATCACTTCTTACTAAACAAATTTTGAGACTATTCTATGCAGTATTTTTCCTTATGATTGTATCATATATCTTGTTGGTAAAAAAAAGTCCTCCCTTACATTATTCTAAAGAAGAAAAAAAAGTTTCTGACACCTTCATCATTCTCTCTCTTTTTGACAGTCCCAATAGGGCCACAACTGCTGCCTGATTTTCTCTCCTGACAGCAAACCAAGCCAGACACAAATTCAAATGACAGATTGGGGGTTATGGGGTAGAGGAGCAAAAGGCTAGGTTTATACAGTAGCTTGAAAATGTTTCTCATAGCAAAAAATGTAGTATGTCATAGATCAAAACAATGTATAACAAATGATTTGGTTAAGATATCCAACTCTTTTCAACCCTGGTCTAATTAGGATCACTCCCTCTCACCTCAGATTATCTTATTATCCCTCACAGTCCTATATAGAATTGTATATGTCATCATTTGACATTCCAGGTATCACTTTATCTCAGGACAAAAATGAGTTTTGGGATGTCCTAAAAATTTTACCCTTGAAATTATTCTGGATTATCCAGGTGAGCTCTAAACCCAATAATTATTGACTTATAAGAAGAAGTGAAGACACAGAAAAGGAAAAGACATAGAAGAGGAGGTCAAATATAGAAGGAGGCAGTAATTGAAGTTATACTATTATAAACCAAAGAATGTTTGGAGCCACCAGAAGCCAGAAAAAGCAAGAAACAATTCTCCCCCAGAGCCTTTGGAAGGAGGATGGCCCTGGTGACACTTCGATTTCAGACATCTGGCTTCCAGAACTGAGGAAACAGTTTCTAATTTTTTTAAGCCAACAAGTTAGTGGTAATTTGTTATAAGACACTAATACAACATTGAATAACTCTAGTAGAGACCATATGCAGTAGCCTGATAATATGCAAGATAAGGTAGGCATTAAATAGATCACTAAAATATAACTAAAACAGTGTTAAGATAAGGGAAGGCCGAGATATCTTTAACACTAATCACTACATTTGTTGCTACTGGTTGCCTACATTGTAGGCAATATATGTGCCTATGCATATTGTCAACTATATATATCATAAAAAATAACATTGTTATGAAAATAATATTAATGAAAAATAATATAAAAGTAACATTATCCATGGAGAGAAATAAAAGATAAAAAAATTCCTCTCATGTCTATTTTATGTCTTGTTTCTCTAAATAGGCTGATGCTGCTCAGCACAGCACCTATATTAATTTCCTGGGGCTGAAATAACAATATACCACAAATTGATGGCTTAAGCAACAGAAATTTATTATTTCACAGTTCTGGAACCTAAAAGTCTAAGATCCAGGTACTCTCAGAGTCTTGCTTCCTCTGAAGATGCTCTCACCTAGCCTCTCATCGTTCTTTGACTTGTGACAGCATTAACTCCAATCTTCACACAGCATTCTCTCTACATTCAAATATTACCTTTTAAAAAAGACACTGAGATATTGGATTAGAATCCACACTAATGATTTTATTTTAATTTGATGATCTGCAAAATACCCTATTTCCAAATTAGGTCACAGTGACAAGTACTGGGGGGTTAGAACCTTAACATCTTTTGGGGAATCACAATTCATTCTGTAACACTGCTCAACTTAATACATGTGAATTGAGTTGTTAAATGGTATGTGACAGGGAAGAGAAAACAAAACTTTTTGGAGACTTGAAAAGATATTAAAAAGAAAGAATATAATAAATATAATTTTGGTTTAGGTAGAGACTTCATGTGCCAAAATATTGTCCATATGTAGCATACATAGCAGAGTCACATATTTATTACAAGGCAGCTCCTCTATTTTCTATAACTGAGCTAGTTTTGACTTGTGAGCCTCCAATCCAGAGTATAGTTGGGTGGTGGAGGAGACCTTAACTGAGGGTTTATAAAGCTGTGAATTAGCAGGATCTTTGATTTAAGGTAGGCTCATTTGGGTAATTCAATTTTTCAGGAGCATTCACTCTGTCTCAGGTTTTCTTCCCATCATGGATCTCTCAAGATCTGAGAGATACAAGATAAGGTTCTAATAGATGTGGCAGACAGTGGGAGAGAGAAAAGTTTCAAATCAGTGTGCTACCTGGGTGATTTCCAGTACTTGCTGTGGCCTGATTGGTCTGGCCTGCAAGTGTGTCCACTGATGAAGATTGCTGGAGAAGATTGCAACTGGTGAAATTGTGGTCTTTCCTTTAGGATGAATTCAAGACAGTAGTCTTTCTGGTGATTTGTCATTATCTTTGCCCTTGCTGATGTTATAGACCTCTCTGAAGCTAGTCACATTTTCTACCCAGCTTCTGGCTACTTTGCTTTATCATGAGCTCTATGGAATTTACCACATCTGTCACTATGGCTATGCTAGGCAAGTCTTTAGGCTCTTAATTCAACTTCATTTTGCCTCTGCAGTGGAGTATGTAGAAATTTCTGGCAACTTTCATGCCAAAAGTTTGCTAGGGAGGCTCAAAACAGCAAATGCAGGCCAGTCCCTCTGTGACCCAGCATAATCCACTGCCACTTTTTACTATACTCCAGCTTTCCTATGCTTGCATCAGACCACCTTGCAAATATAATCCAGTCAGCTTCAAGATATGGAGAGCGGGCACAAACCCTTTTTTTTGCTTTTGGTTTATATGTTCAATTCTACTCTATTCCTTTGAGAATTCAGCTAATAGAGAGATCATGATATCAGCATTCCAGAATGTCCCGCTTGTCTTTCTCCTTCCCAGACCCCTTAGTAAATAAGTTGAAATATTTATTTTTTATCTCTATTTGTCTGGAAGAAATACCTCTTAGATTATGTCCTCTTTTTGAATGTGAGTTAATGCCATGGCTAGCTGCTATTGGTAGAGGGAGTATTATTTATACACAAAGGAAGTCATTCTATAACTGGTTTTATGAAAGTTGACTTGATATGGAAGCATGTAGACAACTTCGAATTAGGGATTATCAAAGACAAAGTGAGTTGGTTTGATCCCCCAGAACACATTATCTCCATTACTGCTAAATAATGCCAAATTTAGTGGCATAAATAAAAGTGCATTTGCTTTCATTTAAAAAGGAACACATTTTTTTCACATTTTTAATACATATCTCTATTTTTTTTTCAATCTTCCTTCTACTCTTGCTTCTTTCCCTCTTTTATGTGTTCATAAAACACACATATAGACATTATCATGAGACGGGTACTGAACTACATACTGAAAATACAAAAATAAATAAAATATACTATGTTCCCTTAAATATTTCATAGGCTAGTGTGAGTTAAACACATGAGATTTTAATTAAATGTGATTTTAATTTGGTTAAGTATCCACATCTCCTTGCCCAGTATAATAAAACATCTTGGATATTTGCTGTTTAATCCTTTAATTTTTCAGGTTTGGTAAAATGTCAGGCAAATAGGCTGTATAAATAACTGATAAAAGGGGAGCGATATGAGCAAGAGGGCAGAACGGGAGGTTCCAGCCTTTATCTTCCCACAGAAAAAAAAAAAAATAACAAAAAAAAAAAACACAGCTCTCCAGGAATAAAAATCACTCTGGAAGAGTTCAGGACTTAAGGACTCTAGTTAAAAAACTACAGCAACACAGAACCAAAAAAAAAAAAAAAAAGTGAGAATAACTGCACAGAAAGGGTAGAAAGAACAGCTTCATTTTGCCTGCGTCACTCTATCTCAGCACAAGCCAGCACAGTTCACCACTGAGAGGAGTCTCCTCAGTCCGTGAGTTCCCTTAATAGGCAAAAGGAGAAGGAGAACAGGACAAGTAACCAGCCTCCTCAGCTTTTTGGGGCACTGCCTGAAAGACCCACTTTGGTTTCACTCCACTCATATTGCTGGGGAGATCAGCATAGCTGAGTCATCTGGAGATGACTAGAAACAAAAAAGGGCAGAGGCTATCAATATCAGCCATTGGCAAGAGCCACCAGGTCTCCAGTGGCCTGTCAGGCAGAGGACACCAGCAGCCTTTAGTGCTGAGGATGTCAATACCATTGCAGCTGCTACAGACCCTCTGGAAACAAAGAGATACCATTGTACACCCAGCTAAAGTGCTATTTCTTCCCTGCCCTCAATTGTTTTCATGTCTAGACCACAGACCCATATTTGCTCTCTGCATACCATGATCTGGATTCTGGTTCCGCAGCTACTGTGCATACACCCATTTTCTAGACGCTGGCACCACCACCACAGCAGGCACAGCTGTGTTCCACACACTGGCATACTACCACAACAGGTGAGTCTATACCCGGAAACCCAGGGTTGCAATCATTTAATACATGCCTATGCTTCAGGACTCAGCTTTGCATCTATTCCATGTATGCTTTCACATCAGACAAGGGCACTACTGTCACTGCAAGTTTATTCCAATGTTGGACCCAGTGCCAAGAGTAATGCTATTGAAAATAATTTCTTCCCAAGGAGAAAAATAGAACAGAAGGATTTCAGCAGCCTCCACCACCAATGACCAAATTGTTCTTGCTGTCGTTGTAGACAATTGCAACCTTGACTGCCAAGAACTCCCACAGCCTTCTCAATACTGACCTCAGTAAATGTTGTTGCATGGAGACTATGCCACTGTACTCTCCCCATAGCTGAAACTTCTGCACCCAACCCATCTAGCACCTTTGCATTCACCTTTAGGTGAAGGTCTTTCCCCACTGAAACCTATCCTTTAAGGCTGGATGAGATTATTGCTCCCTTACATGTGAAAACATCAATAAAAATCTGGAAGAAACACAAAAATGCAGGAAAAATTACATCACCAAAAGAACACAATAATTTTCCAATAACCACCCCAAAGAAATAGAAATCTATAAATTGCCCAGTGAAGAATTAAGAACAATTCTTCTTACAGAACACAGACATCTAATCATCAGGAAAACAATACATGAACAAAATGAATAATTCAGCAAAGAGTTAAAAACCATAAAAAGAATTAAACAAATTCTGGAAATAAAACATATAATGAGGGAAATAAAAAACTTAGTAGAGAGACTTAACAGATTCAATCAAGCAGATGAAAGAATCAGCAAAAATAAAGAGAAATCATTTAAAATTATTCATTCAGAGGAACAAAAATTTGAAAATAAATAAAAAGCGTCCAGGCCCTGGTGCTCATGCCTGTAATCCCAGCACTTTGGGAGGCCAAGGCCAGTGGATCACGAGGTCAGGAGTTTGAGACAAGCCTGACCAACATAGTGAAACCCTGTCTCTACTAAAAGTACAAAAATTAGCCAGGCATGGTGGCGTGTGCCTGTAATCCCAGCTGTTCAGGAGGCTGAGGCAGGAGAATCACTTGAACCCAGGAGCTGGAGGTTGCAGTGAGCCGAGATCATGCAACTGCACTCCAGCCTGGGCAACAGACTGAGACTCCATCTCAAAATAATTAATTAATTAATTAATTAATTAAAAGCATGAAGAAAGCCTATCATGAAATATAGCATTAAGCAAACAAATATGCAAACTATGGAGTCCTATAATGAGAAGAGAAAGGGACAGAAAGCAAACATAAAGAAGTGACATACTCCCAAATCTGGAGAAATCTGAATGAAAATCCACATTAGTGATGCTCAAAAAATCCCAGATAAGCTGAATATCAAGAAATCTTCAATGAGACATATTATAATCAAATTACCTAAATTCAAAAACAAATAAAGTTGAAAGGAGCAAGAGAAATGCAAATCATCACATATAAGCAAATCCTCACAAGACTGTTCATGAATTTCTCAACAGAAACCTTGAAGCCAGGATAGAGTGGGATGATATATTCAATATACTCAAGGAAAAAAAGAAACCATTTTAACATGCAGAAATATTATACCCAGCAAAATTATCTTTTACAAGAAAGATATGCCTATTGTTGCATTTTTCTTTTTTTCTCTTATTTTAGGTTAGGGGTACATGTGCAGGTTTCTTATATAGGTAAACTCCTGTCACAGGGGTTTGGTGTACAGATTATTCTGTCACCCAGGTACTAAGCCTAGTACCCGATAGTTATTTTTTCTGATGATCTTCCTCCTCCCACCCTCCACCCTCAAGTAAGCCCTAGTGTCTGTTGTTCCTCCCTTTTGTGTCCATGTGTTCTCATTATTTAGCTCTCATTTATAGTGAGAATATGTGGTATTTGTTTTTCTGTTCCTGCATTAGTTTGCTGAGGATAATGACCCCAGCTCCATTCATGTTCCTGCAAAGGACATAATTTTGTTTATTTTTAGGGCTGCATAATATTCCATGGTGTACATGTACCACATTTCTTTATGCAGTCTACCATTGGTGGGCATTTAAGTTGATTCCATGTCTTTGCTATTGTGAATAGTGCTGTAATGAACATACGTGTGCATGTGTCTTCATAACAGAATGAGTTATATCCCTTTGCCAGTAATGGGATTGCTGCTTTGAATGGTAGTTCTGTTTTTAGTACTTTAAGAAATCACCACACTGCTTTTTGCAATGGCGGAACTAATTTACACTCCCACCAGCAGTGTATAAATATTCCTTTTTTCTCTGCAACCTCAACCTCATCAACATCTATTGGTTTCAGGTTGTTTTTTTTTTTTTGACTTTTTATTAATAGCCATCTGACTGATGTGAGATGGTATTTCACTATAGTTTTGATTTGCATTTCTCTTATGATTAGTGATACTGAGCATTTTTTCATGTGCTTGTTGGCCACATTTATGTCTTCTTTTGAAAAGCGTCTGTCTATGTACTTTGCCCACTCTTTAATGGGTTTGTTTGTTTTTTGTTTGTAGATTTAAGTTCCTTATGGATGCTGGATATTAGACCTTTGTCATGCATAGCACACAAATATTTTCTCCCATTCTGTAGGTTACTTGTTTACTCTGTTGATAGTTTCTTTTGCTGTGAAGAAGTTCTTTAGTTTAATTTAATTAAATCCCATTTGTCATTTTTTACTTTTGTTGCAATTGCTTTTGATGTCCTTGTCATGAAATCTTTGCCAGTTTCTCTGTCCAGAATGGTATTTCCTAGGTTATCTTCCAGGATTTTCATAGTGTGGGGCTTTACATTTAAGTCTTTAATCCATCTTGAGTCTATTTTTGTATATAGTATAAGGAAAGGAAAGGATCCAGTTTCAATCTTCTGCAGATGGCTAGCCAGTTATCCCAGCACTATTTATGGATTAGGGAGTCCTTTCTCCATTGCTTGTTTTTGTCAGCTTTGTCGAAGATCAGATGGTTGTAGGTGTGCAGCATTATTTCTGGGCTCTGATTCTGCCCCATTGGTTTATGTGTCTGTTTTTGTATCAGTACAATGCTGTTTTAGTTACTGTAGCCTTGTAGTATAGTTCAAAGTCAGTGATATTTTTCACAGAACTAGAAAACGCTATTTTAAAATTCACAAAAAGGAGCCAGAATAGCAAACGTGATCCTATCTTAGCTTTCAATATGACTTCCTCGCTAAACTTAATTATTTCTATCTTTTAATTTAAAGTAAGGGACATGCAACTCTTCCTCTCACTTGAACACTCAGAGACTATTCTAGGGTGATTAACTGGCCTAATTTCTGTGTCTTAGAGAAAAGAGAGGCTCAATGATAGGGAGAGAGACAGCAGAATGGGCAGTCAGTGGAGCAGCTGGAACACACAGAACATTTAGGATTAAATTCATCATACTATTTGGGTGTGGCTCATGGTGCCCCATAACAATTACAATACTAACATCAAAGATCACTGATCACAGGTCACCATAACAATAATGAAAATGTAATAATAAAAAACATTTGGAATGTCATGAGAATTTTTAAAAATGTGACACTGAGACATGAAGTGAGCACATGCTGATGGAAATTTGGCACCAGTAGTTTGGCTTGAGACAGATTTGCCACCAAACTTTAATTTCTTAAAACTGCAATGTCTGTGAAGCACAATAATGTGAAGCATAATAAAGTCATTAGGCTGTATAAAGGAGATAATGCAAAGTGAAAAATGCATAAAATGAGGAAAGAATGGAAAACACAGATATTTAAGGTACAAGCAGAAGAAGGAATAGAGCTGCCTGGGAAACTGAGAGAATTCAACAGGGTGGGTCAAAACTATAACAATATAACTGATTAACCCAGTCCTGCAAACAGAGTAAAGTCACATGGGTTTCAAATGCATTCCATCAACAACTTATGTATACTATAGAAGAAGATAATTCATTTAACATATTGTACTATTAACCAAGAACAAATTATTATGTTAGTCCATGTTGCCAAATTGCAAAGAAAAAATATTTATGCATACAATATTTACCTTTTAAAAATTAAAAAAAAATCATGGAAGATATATTTTATTATATACTTTAGGCAATATATACATTCTTCAAGATTATAGACTATCATATGCCAAGTGGTGTGCTATCATGTATATAATTATACTTTTGATACATCAATATAGTGGCTATCTAGAAGCTATGTTTTCAGCAAGTTCCATTATCCCTTCTCCTGCTCTTTTTCACTTCCTCACTACTCTACCAAAGATGCTGATGCAGTAACCTACTAAATAAGGCAATACATCTAGCCAAGAAATTGAATACAACTATAATGACATCATGGAGGCAAATTTTAATATATAACTTTCTACAGTATTTGTGGAATACTCTCTTAAAGAAACAGGAAGCTTTAAAAGTAAAGGGATCAAATACTTTTCATGCCTTTTATCCTAAAATACATATTTTAAAATATATTTGCAATATTTTTACAGTATAAGTACATTTTTAAAAAATTTCAACTTTTCAATATGGAGAGTACATGTGCAGGTTTGTTACATAGGAATACTGCATGATGCTGGGGTTTGGAGTATGGACCCTGCCACCCTGGTAGTGAGCATAGTACCAAATAGGTAGTAATTTTACCGACACACCCCCTCCACTCTCTAGTAGTCCACAGTGTCTATCGTTCTCATATTTATGTCCACGTGTGTTCAATGCTTAGCTCCCACTTACGAATGAAAACATACAGTATTTAGTATTCTGTTCCTGTGTTAATTTGCCTCGGATTATGGCCTTCAGCTTCATCCATATTTCTGGAATGGCGTGATTTTATTCTTTTTATGGCTGTGTAGTATTCCGTGATGTACATGTACCACATTTTCTTTATCAGATCTACCATTGATGGGGACCTGGGGTGATTTCATGTCTCTGCAATTGTAAATAGTGTGCTTTGATGAACATACAAGTGCTTGTATCTTTTTGATAGAATGAATTCTTTTTTTTTTTTTTGTATATACACCCAGTAATGAGATTGCTATGTCAAATGAAACCTCTGCTTAAAGTTCTTTAAGATACCTCCAGACTGCTTTCCACAGTGGATGGACTATTTTACATTCCCACCAACAATATATACGCATTTCCTTTCCTCTGGAGCCTTGCCAGCATCTTATTTTTTGAATTTTTAATAAGAGCCTTTATGGTGTGAAATGGTATCTCATTGTGGTTTTGATTTGCATTTCTCTGATGATTAGTGATCCTGAGCATTTTCTCATGTTTGTTGGCCATTTGTATGTGTTCTTTTGATAAGTGTCTGTACATGTCTTTTGCCCATTTTTGGTGGGGTTATTTGTTTTTTGCTTGTCGATTTAAGTTTCATATAAATTATGGATATTGGGTCTTTGTTGGATGCATAGTTTGTGAACATCTTCTGTCATTCTGTAGGTTGTTCACTCTGTTCATAGTTTCTTTTGCTGTGCAAAAAGCTCTTTAGTTAGGTCTCATTTGTCTATTTTTGTTTTTATTACAATTGATTTGGGGGACTTAGCCAAAAAAATTTGCCATGGCCAATGTTGAGAAAATTATTTCCTATTTGCCTTTCAGGGTTTTTATAGTTTTCGGCCTTACGTTTAAATTGTTAATCCATTTTGAGTTAATTTTCACATATGGTGAAAGTTAGGGTCCCAGCTTCATTCTTCTGCATATAGATAGCCAGTTATCTTAGCACCATTTATTGAACATGGAGTCCTTTCCTCATTACTTGTTTTTGTCAGCCTTGTTAAAGAACAGATGGTTGTAGGTGTATAGCTTTGTTTCTGAGTTTTCTAATCTGTTCCATTGGTCTATGTGTCTGCTTTTGTACCAGTACTGTGGTGCTTTGGTTACTGTGGCTTTATTGTATAGTTTGAAGTTGGGTAGTATGATGCTTTGGGCTTTGTTGTTTTTGTTTAGGATTGCTTTGACTGTTTGGGCTCTTTTTTGGTTCTGTATGAATATCAATTTTTTTTCTAAATCTGTGAAGAATGACATTGGGAGTTTGATAAGAATAGCACTGAATCTGTAAATTGCTTTGGGTAGTATTTCCCTTTTTACAATATTGATTCTTCCAGTCCTTTAGTATGAAATATTTTTCCACTTATTTGTCATTTCTGGTTTCTTTAGCATTGTTTTGTGTTTTCCTTGTATAGATCTTTCACCTCTTTGGTTAACTTTATTCCTAGGTATTTCATTTTCTTTGTGGCTATTACAGTGGAATTGTGTTCTTGATTTCACTCTCAGCCTGGATTTGTTTGTATATAGAAATGCTACTCATTTTTATACATTGATTTTGTATGCTAAAACTCTACTAACATTGTTCATCAATTCTAGAGACCTTTTGGCTGAGTCTTTAGGATTATTCAGGCAGGTATAGAATCATAGAATTGGTAAAGAGTGATAGTTTCGCTTCTATTTGGATGCCTTTTATTTCTTTCTCTTGCCTGATTGCTAGGAAATGTCGTGTCTCCCATTACTATGCTGAATAGCAGTGGTGAGAGTGGGCCTCTTTGTCTTGTTCCTGTTGTCAAGGGGAATGGTTCTAGCTTTTGCAGATTCAGTATGATGTTGGCTGTAAGTTTTCATAGACTGCTCTTATTATCTTGAGGTATGTTCCTCCAATGTCTAGTCTGTTTAGGGTTTTTCATGAAAATATGTTGGATCCTATTGAAAGCTTTCTCTATGTCTGTGAAGATGATCATAGGGTTTTTGCTTTGGATTCTCTTTATGTGGTGAATCATATTTATTGATTTGCATATGTTGAACCAGCCTTGCATCCCAGGAGTAAATCCTAGTTGATTGTAGCATATTAACTTTTTGACATGCTGTTGGAGTTGATTTTCTATTATTTAATTGAGGATTTTTGTTTCTGTATTCATGAGTGATATTGTTCTGAAGTTTTGTTTTTTCATTGTGACTCTGCCAGATTTTGGTAGCCCCTCCTCCTCAATTTTTTACAATGGTTTTAGTATAATTGATATCATTTCTTCTTTTTATATCTGGTAGAATTTGGCTGTGAATCTGTCTGGTCTGGGGCTTTTCCTGGTTGGAAGGTTCTTTATGACTGATTCAATTCCAGAAATTTATATTTGTCTATTTAGGGTTTCAATCTTTTCCTAATTCAATCTTGGGAGATTGTGTGCTACCAGGAATTTACCCAGTTTCAAATTTGGGTGCACAGTGTTGTTCATAGTAGTCTTTGAGGATCTTTTTTATTTCTGTGGGATCAGTTGTAATATCACCTTTGTAACTTCTGATTGTGCTTATTTGAACTTTCTTTCTTGATTGATAGCCAGGAATCTGTCAATCTTAATTATTTTTTTTGAAGAAACAGCTATTGGTTTCATTGATATTTTGTATGGATTTTTGCATCTCAATTTAATTAAGTTCTTCTATAATTTTAATTATTTATTTTCTTCTTCTAGCTTTGGGGCTGGTTTGCTCATTTTTTTTTTTAGTTCCTTTAAGGGTGAAGTTAGATTGCATAAGCAAATTTTTAAGATATTTCACCTTTTAAACAAAGAAAAATATTTTGAATTATATATTCCTACAAGAGGAACAGTTAACACAATTCCAGTAGTGTTATCGGATTTCTGTATTTGCAATGGAAGGTTATACGATTGAAAGTGTTAACAAATTAATGTTTAAGTAAAGCTTGTCAGAAATAATAAGGAAGAAGGTGTATAAATATCCACCTTAGAGTAAGCATTAATAAACAAACAAACATTCAAACAAACAACAAAAGCTTTTCCTTCCAAGCCCAGAAATTTACACAAGTGATGAAGATGAGAGACATCTACCCCTTCACTAACTCAGATCGATTAACTTAAAAGTTTTAAGTTTTATACCACAGACATTTCATCTCTACTCTCTTTATATATAGATTTCCCTGTACTGGACTCTCATATGGATTGAATTATAGATGTGGTCTTTTGTGACTGCCTTCTTTCTCTAGGCATAGTGTTTTCAAGTTTCATCCATGTTGTCACAGGTAGCAGTACTTCATTTTTTATGGCCAAATAATACACCACTGTGTGGACACACACTTGGTCCCTCCCTTTGTCTATCAACAGCCAACTGGATTGTTTCCACTTCTTGCCTATCTCAAATATTGCCATAAATATTTATGCACAAATTCATCTGTGGAAATATGTTTTTATTTTTTCTGGGTATATACATAGAAGTGTAATTGTCTAATCATATGGTTAACTGTATGTCTAATCATTTGAGGAACTGCCAAACTGTTTTCCAGAATTAAGCCCCTTGTCAGATATGTAATTTGCAAACATTGTCAGTCATTTTGTGGGTTGTCTTTTTACTTTCTTGATAATGTCCTTTGAGGAATGAAAATTTTACATTTTGATGACTTCTAAATTTAATTTTTCATTTGTCGCTTATGCTTTGTGTGTCATATCCAAGAACCTTTTGCCAAATCCAAGGTCATGAAGATTTACCCCTTTATTTCTTTCTAGAAGTCTTAAGTTTTGGGTCTTACATTTAGGCCTTTGATTAATTTAATTTCACTTTTGTATATGATGTGAATTAAGGGTTCAAATTTTTTCTTTTGCATGTGACTATCCAGTGTCTGAGCACTGTTTATTGAAAATGCTATTCTTTCTGTATTAGATTATCTTGACATTCTTGCTGAAAATCAGTCTACCATTGATCTTTATGTGCATCCATTGATCTATATGTGCCAGTGACATATTGTCTTGATTACCATTGCTTTGTAGTAAGTTTTGAAATGAAAGAATGTGGGTTCTACTTTATTCTTCTTCAGGATTGTTTTGGCTATCCTAGGTCCTTTGCAATTTCATGTGAATTTTAAATCATCTTGTCAGTTTCTACAAATAACTCAGCTGGGATTCTCATAGAAATTGCATTGAATTTGTAGATCATTTTAGAAATTACTGCCATCTTAACAATGTTAAGTTTTTCAATACATGAGCATGAGATTTTTTTTATTTATTTAGATCAACTTTAATTTCTTTCAATAGTGTTTTATAATTTTCAAAGTATAAGCTTTACATTTTTGTTAAATTTATTCCTATTTCATTATTTTCAGTGTTATTGCAAGTTGAGTTGTTTTCTTAATTTAATTTTTGGATTGTTCATTCCCAGCTATATTTTTATATACATCCCTGAATAATAACTATGAAATCTATTATTTTAGTGTTCGCTATTGGCTATTTCTGAATACAACCTTAAATTTTAAAAAGTGATTGCTGGGAAAATATTGAATTAAAAAGTGGTCATCTTGTAGTCTTTTGATTCCAAAAGTAATATATGTTCACTGGAACCGTTTAAAAAATGTTATGAAATAATTAACTTATTGTCTAAAGATAACTATAAAAACTTTAATACAATGTCATGCAGTTTCTTGATACAGAGATAAAATATATAAAGAAATATGTGGATATAATATATAGAAAAATCCATGGATATAAAAGTAGCATATACAAATGCAACCTATATAAATGCACCTGTATAAAACTATATCCTGCATTTTGGCTTTCTTATATAATCAGCTTTTCCCCACACTGATTAATACTCCTGAAAAATGTCATCTTTGAAGATAAATTATTCTATGTGGATGTGTGGCATTTTGTCATTTACATACAGGAAATAAATAAGTTATTTCCCAATTTTACTATTAGAAATAATATTTTGAAAAAATACTTTATTTAGTAGCATTGAAATCTCATATTATTTATGTAGAATAAAGTAGTACATGTAAAATTACTGGGTCTAATATACAAAAAAATCCCCTTTTCCAGTAAAATATATTTTCTTTGTATTTAATGTAAATATATAGTTTCCCAACTTACCTTAGCTTTAAACACTCCTACACTCCTGAAAATCTAGTTCCCAAATATTTTTCTAGAACTTTCTCTTTTATATGCCCTACAAAAATAAATATCTTCCAATTTTCTATGACACTTTTTTGTATCTTTGCTGAATATTTTCCTCTTGCTAGATTGCCTTTTCTCTATGAATAGCATGTTATATGTTACTTCTTCAAAGACTGTTATAAAAAAAACCTCCTCTACAAAATTTTTCATGATTTTTTTTGCTCTGAATAACTTCTGTAACACTTCCTTCTCTCTCTACCCTAGGCTTGAATTATTGGGACCTATTTATTTTATCCCCTACCAAACCATAATTTCTGAAGTATCAGTGCTTTTATTGATGAATATTTTCTTTATGCATAAAAGAATCTCAAGTACTTGTTGCACAAATAATTAATTACATCTTTATGTTACACAAAATTGCAAGGGGCTTTGATCTCAGGGCACATCCTACTTATGATAATTTATTCTGTTGCAAGTAAACAACTTGCAACGCAGAAAAAAACCTTTGAATTGATTTTGTTAATTTGAACCATGTGTATCTTTGTATGTGTTAATTGAATTGTATGTTATGATGTTCTCAAATATCAGGACATTGTAAAGTCTGCACTGTAAAGTGTAGAAAGATGCTCAGTATTTAAATCTCAATAATAATAGAATTTAGTTTTTGTAACTATAAGGTATTCATCTTTGAATATTACTCATATTCAATGAAAATATCTGGATATCTGTATATTTAAATTAAGTCAGAGCATACATGCTTAATTGGGAGAAGAGGTTAGAAATCAATATTTATAAATGACAATATTCAGTTTCTCACTGCAAACATCATTAGTACATTTTTAGAAGAAATACATTTTAGGCTGTTTTGAAAGACAAAAAGAAGTTATCCTTATCATTTTACTTCCAATATCTGAAAATTATTTTGTTTTCAAGAAAATAGTGGTCCCTTAATAAAGCACTCATATATACATAATTTTTTCTTGAGTTTGCTACATCAGCTATTCCTCCCTCCCTTCTACTATTTATGGAGTTTTCCCTCTGGTGGAGTAAATTAATTAATTTGAAGAGGGAATATGTTCAAAATCAAAATGTAATAAGATAAAAAGTTTCTTTACTCACCTGTAGAATTGCTTCAGAAGAAAGAAGAGGTAAAAACAGACATCTCTTTTGAAGAGTGAAGACCATATATAGAATACATATTAAAAATTAAAAAGGGATAAAAGTTATTTATACCTGTAATAACAAAAAGCCATATAGAAATATATTTGAGGGTACCGAATGATACAAAGTAACATATATTCCATAATTCAGTTTTTTTGTTTGGTTTTGTTTTTTACTTCCTAGCTTCCAACTTTCATTCATTGGGCTTTTCCTTTCACCCTACTTTATACTTCTAGGCTAAACATTGTTACATATAAAGTAGAAGAACAATTGTCATGTATTTGTTTTATTGGAAATCAATTATTTTTTTTCCTTTCTGAGAAGATGCAAGTCCATACTAATGGCTATGTTAAAGAGAAGAAATAGTGTTAATTATGGGGAAGAAGAGATAGAAATAGGAACAGAGACAAGATAGATAAACACATAAGCAGAAGGAGAAGCAGAATTTCTATACAGTACAGGCAAAGCATGCCCATTTACTCATATCTGTTTCACTCCTAAATACCTATTGGCCAAACACAAATGCCTTCACTCTGAAATATGCTCTCTGACATATCTCTTTAAATGAAATTTTATGGATTTACAGATACTGCTTAATTTTGTCTCTGTTAAAACATGGTCATCAAAGGATGCTAAACTTCTAATAAGTAGCAGTTTACTACGGTTTTTGTAAAGATTCCCAAGATTTTGTTGTCAGTTTTTTATCAGCACGTCACTACGAAAACTCAGGCATTATTTGAGATGTGAATTTAAAATGTCCATGTTTTATATCTGTGGTCTTAGTCCCATTGAATCAATGCACTGTACATATTACAATGACGTATTACATATTACAATAATCTGAGAAGGAAATCCTCCTAAATCTTTGACCCGCATAACATTTATCACTCTATATTTCATAATACTCTTTCATTTTTTTTAAAATTTTACACTGGATTCTGAGATTCTTGGTGGAAGACATTTGATATGGCGTGGCTGTGTCCCCACTCAAATCTCATCTTGAATTGCAACTCCCACAATCCCCACCTGTCATGGGAGGAACCTGGTGGGAGGTGATTGAATTATGGAGGCAGGTCTTTCCTGCACTGTTCTCATGATAGTAAATGAATCTCATGAGAGCTGATGCTTTTAAAAGTGGGAGTTTCCTTGCACAAGTTCTCTCTCTTTGCCTGCCACCATCCACATAAGACGTGACTTGCTCTTCCTTGCCTTCTGCCATGATTGTGAGGCCTCCCCAGCCATGTGGAACTGTAAATCCATTAAACCTCTTTTTCTTCCCAGTCTCGGATATGTCTTTATCAGCAGCATGAAAACAGACTAATACAAGATTATATCTTTTATTGTATTGAATTATATGATTTTGCCACTTTTCAGCCATCTTTTGCTTAGTAAAAACAAAAATGCTATATGATTCAATTTAATATACCCCTCTCCTTAACGCTTAGCTTTATTTAAGGAACGTAATAGGTATTGGCTGAGTTAATGAAAAGATGAATGGTAACTTATGTTGTAAGAATTATTGAAACTATCTGAATAGATTTACCATTTTATTCCATGTTTTTATTCACAGAAGAAACATAAAAAACAAAACTCTTCCTTATTTTTCAGGTAATATATAAAAGAAGAGTCCATCCCCTCTCCTAATTCCCTCCTCCCCCCACCCCGCCCCACACACACAAACCAGAAATTCATACAGATATTTTGTATAGGTTATTTCTGGCATACCCTCCATCCCTACAAACTGGGCCATAAACCTTGCGTCTTGTTCAACCACACTTGTTAACAGAGGAGAAATGGATACACACATATTTTTACTTATTAATTATCAGGGTCTTCTTCCTGGTTAGCGCTATGTGACTAGAGTGTGATTCTACCTGCGTCAACATCAAATTATGTTATTCACTGCCGTAGTTCAGGTTGCAGTAACAAATAGCATAGACTGTGTGACTTAAACAATTAACATTGATTTCTCACCGTTCTGGAGCCTGGAAATCTGAGTTCAAGGTGCCAATATGATTGTGTTCAGTGTGAGCTCTCTTTCAGGGTGAAGAATGCCAGCTTCTACTTGTATCCTCACATGGCAGGAAGAGAAGCAGCTAGTGGCTCTCTGGTCTCTACATTTATAAGGACATTATTTCCATTTATGAGGACTCCATCTTTATGACCTAATTATATCCAAAAGGCCTCAGCTTTAAACACCATCACACTGGATGTTAGAATTAAACATATGAATTTTGAAGGGACACAAATATTCATTCCAGAAAATCCATCCTCTATGGAATCCTGCTCTCATAATCATTAAACTACATTAAATCCTCAGCTTCTTTCACAGGGTAATTTGTTCTCCATTCATTTCTCTGTCTTAAATGAATTCTAGCCTCTCTTAAGAGGCCCTCTCTGGGATCGAGCTCATTCTCTCACATTTCACATATGTGCAGGATATCTTATCAGCATCCTACTGCCACCACCAGATCTGTGTCTAGATCATTATGTCTTCATCCTGTGGAAACACCTCTGTCTGCTTGCATAATCAGGCCATCCAGCACATCTGCATGAGCTCTCCTTTCATCTCCTACACTTAGCAATCTCAAAGTGATGTATTAAGGTAAATATTTGCCTTATCTTCATCAGTACTCAGAAAATGACAGGGAAGATAAATTGCATATTCAGCCAAACTGATATTACATTAACGTCATGGTAACTGATCTAGACTAAACATCTGGCACTAGTTAGCAAAACCTTATATCCTTATATGTTCTGTTTTTACACATCTTTAGCAAGTATTTCATCCATGGGTCACTCTTCTCAAAATCAGTTACCTCACTATCAGCCTGGTAAAGACCAAATCTTAAAACATGCCAACATGTTTTACCCTTCTTTGCTCTTTACCTCCTCTTATGTGTGCAGTGTTTCTCTTTACATCTGTCTCCATTCTCTGCCTGATATCCTCCTTAGATAATATCACCATGCCATTTATCCACACTCTATTTATAGCATCATGTCTTTGCATAACTCCCTCTACTGTCTCATGCCAACAATCCTTTGACCGTTTGACCACCTCAGGGCCTCCAATACATCAATCCAATTGATCCTTGTTGTCTCTGAAGTCTTGGTGTGCTCTCTTCCCTCTATATGCAGCTTAAATACATGGTCAATTATTAAAATTACATCCTCACATATACATTGACTCTACCCACTTGTTATAGAGTACTTAATTGGTGAAACCACAAACCTGGTTAAATGCAACTCTCACTTTACTCTGGGCTTGTTCCCTGCACTGAAGGTGTCTGGAGGAAAATATAAAGTTATGCTGACTGCTCTCACTTTAAATTTCTAGTACAAATCACAAATGAACCTTTATTACTACATTCCAGTCATACTAAATTTACTTAGTTTGTTCTCTCACCCATGCTTGATAACTATTTGTTCCCAGATAAGCATTTCTTTCTTTTCCCTTTTTCTCGAACCTTCTTTCTAAATGTATCCAGAATACCACTTCTTATTATCACCACCTCTATTTCCCCAGTCCGGGACACAAGCATCTCTCATCTGGATTGCCATTGTAACCACAAGTCTGGTCTTCCTCTATCCAGCCTTTCTCCCAAATGTTTATTCTCAACACAGCAGTGAGTGTGATTCTATTAAAATACAAATAAGATTATATGTTCCTCTAAAATCATCGAGTGATTTTCCATTTCAATCTGAGTAGTAGCCAAAGTCTTTTAATGTTCCAAGGGCCCTGCACAATCTTAGCCCCTCTTCATTTTCCCCACCTCATCTTCTACTTTCCATTTTGTTTTCTCTGCTCCAGGCACATGGGCTCCTCATTAAGGGCCTCTGCCATACCCATACCTGTGCTTGAGATATTCTTTCCTCATGTATGTAAGTGACTCAGTCTCTTGCCTTATATCTTCTATTTATTGAAGAATACCCAAATTTAAATTACAAACCCATTACTGGCTCCTGATATCCCTATCAAGTTCTATGTTTCACAGAATTAACCTTTGATAATGCACTGTTCCTTTATTTAGTTATTATCTTACTAATGATTTTGTTTATTTAACATTTCCATCAGTATAATAAAACTCTTTCTTCTTTTTAAACTTTTATATCTGAAATATCTAACACAAACCTGAGATGTAATGGAATTCAAACATTTGATGACATACTAAATGAAGTGGTAAGAGTAATACCTCTAATTTTATTCACAATTCTATCCATTTCTTCTACCGATATTGCATTAAAGCTTGTACTAAGTTTTATACCTGCCACATACTGTATTTTCTGCTTCTCTCTTTGTGCTCATCTCTTTTACTATTTGCAACTCAAAATTGCATGATCTTTTTATATTAAAAAACCTCTCCCTTAGCCCTTAGCTAACTTCATCTTCAGCATTAGCTTTCTTCTGTACTTTGAAATCAAAATTCTTTAGAGAAATAGCAGTAATCGTTGACTCCATTGCCTCATCCCACTTAACCTCTGTCCCCATTATTCACCAACACATAAATTCTCTTGAATTTTCTTCTGCCTCACTCTCAACCTATGTTGGGGAAGCTTCCTGTACTAAATTATTAGCATTGCAGCTTTTCATAGATCTGTCTTAGGCTCTGTCTTATATTCATGCAATATAATAGTCACTCGCTCCTTGGGCATCTCATCTATTCCTACATCGTCTATTATTACTAAATGCCAACATCTTCTGAATTTACCCTTCTGGTCTAGACTTCTCTCATGAGATCTGGAACCACACCTTCCATGTGGATTTATCAAGTGCATCTAAAAATATATCACCCTTCATCTTCATTCACAACCTCTGCTCTTTTCTCCACATTTCCTTTCATGATGTGCCATATTATGACTGCTCTATGCTAACTTTTAATCAAGGAGAACAGTCAATTCTACATTTTTAATTACCTTGTGACACTATTTTTTTTTTATTCCCCAATACTACTTTCTTTCTCTGTGACTTTTGTCTCTTGACTGAATAATTTTTAGGTTTGTGTCATTACAAGTCATTTACCATTCTGCAAAATGTGTTATCCTCAGCATCCAAATATCATTATTTTATCCTCTCATTGAATTATCTTAATGAATTCATATTCCTTACTAGGTATAATAGGACCATTTAGATTAGAATCTGCTCTCTGCTTTACTTTCTAGCCTCATTTTTCTTTATTACCTATATCCCTCTCCACAGTGTTCCTCACACTGAACTATATGCAGTTATTTGAACATAACAGGTTTTCTCGCTGTCATTTCTGGTCCTTAGCACAGAATCCCATCTCTTATGGAACATATTTTCCTCAACATATGAACTTCACTAGTACTCTTCACATACATTTTTATGGATACAACACATTTTTTTTCCAAGTCATGTGAATTAGGAAAGTTCCTTAACACCTATTTTCTCATTTGGAAAATATAGATAATATAATTTCCAGCTTAAGTTATTGTTACTTATCAAATAATATAATGCATGCAAAGCACTAATAGTTTGTGTTGCATATAGTAACTCTTCTATATATATTTACTTTTATTATTTGTATTTTTTCTATTAATATTATATTGTTTTCTTTCTAAAATTTTGCCAGAGTTTGAATTGTAGCTTTGGATTCTGAAAGCTAATTAAATTTAATGAGAGAAATCTATCTATGATGTTTGATAAAACAAATGTTAACATAGCAATTCCTCCCCCTTACACTATTCCCAAAATGCTAGGAAGGAACTCTTGTACAAGGAAATTCTTGTTTTTGCATTTTCACTATTTATAAAAAAATTACCAGAATTATTAGAAAACTGTCACACAAAATCAAAGATTCTTGGCATAAACTGTACTGAAAAATGAGGAACTTTCTGTTCCTAAGTTTTTTAATTTAGTAAATTTCTGTTCAATATGTTACATCATTCTAGATGAGGTATCGGTATCAAGAAGGACCTGAAGCAAGGTCTCAAGTGCCTTTAATTTATTTGAGATGTGTGTCAGGCTGAACAATGTTTCCTCAAAAATACCCATAACTTAATCTGTGGAACCTGTGAAGGTGTCACTGTCTTGGGAAATGAGACTTCCCAGTTCTGATTTAATTAAAGATTACGGAATGGGGAGATTATCCTGAACTACCTAAGTGGGCTAAATGTAATCACAATGGTCCTTGTATTGTAAGTGGTTGGCAGGGGGATATCATGGTAATAGATACTCTGCTAGTGCCTCCAGAAACAACCAATCATGCCCTCATCTTGAATTTGATCCAGTAGAATTGATTTGGGGTTTATGACCTCCTGAACTGTAAGATAATACATTTGCATTGTTTTAAGCACTATATTTGTGGTAATGTATTACAGCAGCAAGAAGAAATGAATCAAGGAAGCAATCCCAGATAGCACATTAAGTAGGTGGGGGAAGCAAGGTAGGAAAAGGGAAAAAAATCAATGTCTCTATCAATTAAAGTATCGCTGTGTATCTGGAGCTTGCTTCCTTCAGATACATCTAAGAGCAGTGCAAAATATACACCTCTGGATTTTCTACTCTGCTTCCCCTTAAGGTATGTAGAATCTCGACTCTCATCAGTCATCTATTTAAGGTTGATTCTTACATTGTTAGTTTCCTGGCACTTCTGGATCGACACGTGGTGAAGCAAAGCAGGGCTAGTGGCTAGAGAAAGCCTATGGGCAAATAACTGCACTTGTTGGCATTTGGAAGTCTAGCTGCTGTGCATTGAGGCATAATTAAGAGGCTATAGGCAGGGTACTGATAGCATTGACAAAGGCTTTCAATCTGTTTATTTATTGTGAATCAATGAACTGGATGAGTTTAGGAACAACTTATACATTTCTGTGTTCCTTTTGCATACACACACACACACACACACACACACACACACACACACACACACGTCTTTGAAATATAACAGCATGTATGAAATATTCCCTCATGACCAAGGACAGGATAATTAAAGCCCTCACCAATCAGTGAAACAAAACACACAAAAATAATTGCAAACGTTAACTTTAGCCTTTTAGCCTTATAATAAATGGGAAATTTTTTTAAGTTATAAAGTATTTCTACCTGTGTTTATACCAATCATAATAACTGTTACATAGAAAATAATATTACCTTTTAGAATGTAATGCAAAATTCTGAGTATACAATTAGTGGAATGTGACATGTGACTTGCTAAAAATCGGTGGATCATACAGGCAGTGTAGGAAAGCAATAGGTGAATCTAGAAGTAAGACACATGGTTCTTTTCAAAATTAGTCACCCGAAGAAAAAAGTGATTTTTTTTTCCTTAATAAAACTAAACACAGCCTCATCAATCTAAAATTAAAACATCCAGGGTAGATTAGCCAAACATATAATCATGTACACCTTACTAGAAACATGAATCTAAACTCAGAATATTTTAATATTAATCTTTTTCCAAAGTATCTCACAGAAAATAATTAAACTATCACCTTCACAAATAATATTTTAAATAGTCAATTAATCTTTATATGGTGGTAAATTAAGTGCATTAATAATATACCTATTGAAGAAATATAGGATTTTAACTCGCAGTTGAGTGATAGTGATTTATTAATCACTCATTCATTTGCTATTCAAAAACTGTTTTTTGAACTCATAGTATGTATGAAACACAACTGTAGGCACTAGGCATATGGAGTTTACATTAGTGAAGACAGACAGTGAAGAAATAAATAATTAAACACATACAATGTAAAATGGTGATGAAGTTTAATAGAGAAAAATAAAACCATGATAGTCGACATAAACTTCCGCCACAGTGGAGGATATTAAATTTTTATCTTCCATGGGGAATATAAAATGTTTACACCTTGCTCAGAGACACCTTTAATGACTGCAGTTCAGGGAAAACTACAAGATTGGGCATACGCATTTAATACTTGTCAGTGAATAAATATTAATGAAAATCACAAGACTATTGAGATCAACAAATGAATTGTGTGCAAATAAATTGTGACACCTAGGGACTGAGCTCTGGGGTTACCCAAGGTTTGCAGGTCAAGAAGAGAAGGAACCAGAAATAAGACTGAGAATAAATAGAGAGGTAGGGGGAAAACCAACAAAGTGTGGCACTCTTATAGCCAAAGTGCAAATATAAGAATATTAATGAGAAGACAGTGATCACTTGTGTTAAATGCTGCTGATTTCCCACAAGGAAAGAGACTATCCAGTGGAATTACCAGTGTGTGGGTGATTGATGCTCTTGAAAAAAATTGTTCAGTGGGAAAGCACAGGGGCACAGCCTTATCGGAGAGGATTTATTAAAGAATGAGGTAAAGGGAATTGTACTTTGGTTCTATTTTGTGTATTCCTTACTGTAAGTTCACTCATCTCTCTTCATTGGACACAATGTAATTCAGATCTCGTTTTGGAGAGAATTTTGTCTTTTTCTTTCATCTCTTTTCTGAGTTTTATCAGCTATCATTTCCTATCTTTCTGTCTTGTAATGCGTGTTTTGACCTTGTGAATTTCTTATTTTAATGTTCTCTCTTTTCCTCAGTGTTGGTTAAATTACTTGTATTCAAATAGGTATGAAGATCCAGTTTTTCTTTCCATCATGTTTCAGTGTATGTGCATGTGTTAGAGCGGGAATATATTTATCTACTGAAAAGTTTTTATTATTTTTTCTTCATGCACTGTTTTTAAAATGAGAGCTATGTTTTTTCAATTCATAGTTATTTGCATTGGATTTTCTTAAAACAATAATCAGTTCAGTCTGAGCTGGGAGGGGAGGTGTAGAAGGCTTTCAGTAACCAATGTGATTCTTAGTTTTGGTATGTTCAATTCGCTTTTCACCTCTATGTGTGTTCCATGAATACATGCTTCTTGGCTTATCAGATTTATTCTCAGTCTTTGATGTTATTGTACTTTGGTGGCACTCTTATTTTACTATTAATATCATGCCTCTAAGGAACACCGTGTTCTCCAACTTAACTTCCTACAGTACCTGTCAGACAATTCCCGTGCTCTGTTCTTTGATCCACCAGATCTCTGACCTGTTTTTAATAATTTCACACTCATGTGAAAACGTCTCTTTCTTAGAATAATCCTGATTAATATTTTCTGTTTCTCTTCACCATCAGGACTCTGTGCAATTTCCTCTATTCTGCCTCTTCCCTGCTTTACTCTGATTTGGACTTCCCTGGTAACTCTGATGGTCAGAGATTTGTATTTCCCAACATACATGGAAATTAAAACTTGCAGTTTAAAACTTGCACTTTGAAACTTGAATTACCTGCCTTGTTTAAATGTTAGGGCATAGACTATAGGCAGATTGATTTTACTTGTTTTCTCTTTTGATCCGTATGTGGTTATTTTAGTTTGAATTTTTTTTTTTTTAGAAAGTGTGGAGGAAGTTAATTGTCAACTTTCATAGTTCCAAAGAACGTTGAAACTCCCTCTTAATGCAATACTATTATTTCTTCCTCCAAGTGAGATTGATACCACATATACACAAAAATTGTGTCGAATTAACCTTGGCTGAACATCACTGTGATTTAAGTTATTAATTTTAATTTGAAATAAACAAAACTTGGGATCACTATTCTAATTTTAGTCTACGAATAAAATGGATTCAAAGAAAAAGTAACAAAACAAAAGGAAAAATTAACTTCTATGTATGAATGCAAAGAAACAACTCTTTATTTTGTTCAGAAAAATGGAGATTATCAGGACAACTGCTATTTTTAGGGTACATTTGAAAATGTTACAAATATTCAAGGTAACTTTGACTACTAATAAATATGAATAATCTGCATTAATAATGTAACTGCACATTTGAATAAATGATTATAGACAGCGAGGTTGAATTTTCATTTCTGGAAATCATCAGAAGTTAAAGTAGTATTTTTTAACTTCTGTTTTCTATGAAAGACTTGAATGAACTATTTCTTGACCATGAAGGAATTAGATATTTGACCTCTCAGTGTGCCTTTCAGCCTTAACATCAGTTTCTTGATCCAATTGTGTTTCTCTTCTATTACCTTGCAATATTTCTTCTTTTTTGCATAATTACATTTTCCTGTTACTATGGTGACAAGAAGAAGGTACCACTTAGTGATCCTTTCTCCTTCCCCTGCATTCCCTTTGCCAAAAAAAAAAAAAAGCAACAGAAAAAAATGTGTGGGAGAGATGCTATGGAAGTGTTGTGCAGCTTGAAGTACAAGAGCAAAATTTCCTGAAAATGTACATGGCTTCAATTTCATACTTAATCTATCCATATGATTCAACAAAATCATTTAACCACACAAAAATACTTAACATTTGAAATTGGAAAATTACTGCACTAATATCATTAGTAAGAGCTATCATCAGCAACATAGACAACACTCAAATACCTTTAATCCAGAAAATTTTAATTACCTAGCCATGCTAAAAGTAACAAAATCATTTTCCCAGCTGCTTTTATATTGCTTATAAAATAAGCCCTTGAGTACAATGATAAGTTAAATGCTACTTTTGTATTCATGAAAAAGGAATCAGTCTGAAAAGAGTGCAGCTGCCTCAATACTTTCAAGAAAACCTTTTATCTTTTGCATAATCACACAGATTCACGTGCATGCACGTGCACGCACACACACACACACAAACTTTAAAAGGTGAGAATAATTTTTATCCTGTTTTACATTCTGTTCAAGCACACTTTGGTCTATCAATTGATGACAGATACATTGACAGAATGAAAATGAAACTTTTGAATAAAAAGTTATTTTATGATGATTATATGATTTTAATATTTGACATCCATTTTGAAATATTCAAGAGAGTCGATAGTTTTATTTTAAGTATAATGAGATGCTATGAATGTAGTATTTTAAAAGTTTTATCTACGTTGCACTAATATTTTTACTGCACTGAAGTAAAAACAACCAATTATCATTGGAAGCCTACTTATGTACATGTGACTCAAGGTTTATTTAAAATAATATATTTGCTGAAGTTTTGGTGTCCAGGTCTATAAAAATCACTCATTATTTAGATATGAATTTAGGATGCAGTGACAGTATGTTTCAAATGTGTTACCTTTTGTGATTCTTTGCCTAGAAAATTTGTTAAGTCTTGTCCCAAAATAATAGTTATCTGTCAGACAGCATTTTTAATAACTATTTTTCATCTCATCTACTTACAAATTATATAAAATAATTCATTTAATAAATCACTTAATAACAAAATAATTACTTGTACCCGTAAGACTCCATAATATTTAATACATTATGAACCTATATTCCTATGGGAATCCTCTCCTTCCTTGAATTCTTTATGTTATTTCCTCCTTGACTGCTCTTTCTCAGTATTTTACCTCAGTTCCTTTTACACTGATTACTCTTTTTATTCAGTTTTCTTTAGGTATGACTGAAAATAGAAATTGTGTACATTTGGGGTGCCCAACATGATGATTCTCCACAAAAAGTCATTGTGGAATTGTTACCACAATCAAATTAATTAATACATCATCACTACCATTAGTTGCCATTATGTGTTTATGTGGTGAGGACACTTAAAATCTATTCTCAAGATGTTCGTGTTCTTTTCTTCTCCCTCCTCTCTTTAACCTAGGTATTCCCTTCCAGGTCCATAGCTTTATGTTTCCCTACAACAGCTCCTGCTCATGAAAAGATTTACTAATGTACTAATAAAGTATAAGCTTCAGAAAACCTCATTTATATAGGGCTTATTTTTAGGAATTATACTTAATATTGTATTTTAGAATGTATAGATTATTAAGGGGCCTCCAAATTGTACAGGCTTCCTTCTGGTGCTGTAAAACTTGCATCAGCCCCTGCTCATGATGCTATGCACCTGACCATATCTGAGTCTTAAATGTACACCTGTGAGTGCCTTTACATATTACCACCTAGATATACTTTCCAACAGGGAGGATTCACACAGGCATCCCAAACTCAGAGTATGCAATTTGAATTTATATCTATACTCTAAACTTTTATTCTGGTAATTGAATTTTCACCCAGTTAGTCACCCAACTAAGAAATGTGACAGGCTTCCTTAATCCCTCCTATATTTCAGCCCAAAACACACATGAGGAATTTCATTTTCAGCAAGACACAGAAAACCCTGAATGTGGCCACCATTGGCCTCTCCTGCTAAGCTACAGTAAATGCACCCTAAGCCATCCACATTATTTACAGACCCATTAAACCTGTGACACCTCTCTGCCTTTGAGATTACTATGTTTTATGATTACAATGGTCTCTCCATCATTTAAACTTGGGATGAATGTTTATCACTCTCTGTGAGGTCTTTTTGAAAACTTCATTCATGAATGTTTACCCATTCTCTTGGAACTTACACATTTTGTCTTTAATGAGAGCAACGTATTTTGAACCTCTAGTGGAGCACTCCTTTTAAATAAAAAATGTATTAAAATAGATTTATATCAATCCTTTCTCCTCCAGATTTTAATGCTCATGATACAGGTCCTGTTTTATTCATTTTTGTATTTTTACTTTCTAGCACAATAATGGCAAAAAATAATAGTACCTAGTAAGTGTGTTGAAAAAATGAATGGATTCATTTTGAATGAATCATTTGTGTTCTAATCTGACACCAACTCCTCCACTCATGCTCATGAGCCCATTTATTCTCTTCTACTTATTCAGGATGACACTTGAACAATTGTCTCCTCTGATTATTGTACTTCATGTATCATTTTTCTTTTCTCCACCAGATTATTTCCTTTAGCATTAAACTTGCTGTAGCATTTCCCATCTTTAACAAGTCCACCCCTTATCATACTTACCCTCGAGCTATCACTCTATTCCTTTGCTCTCTTCTAAAACACAACTAGAAAGAATTGCCTAAAGGTGTCTCTAATTCCTTTCTTGCTATTGTAGCTTGAATTCTGTACATCAGGCTATGTTCTTACCTTGCATTCCCACCATTTCTCTTCATGTCTAGGGCACCGGTGATATCGTTTTCTTCAATATTCACTCATTAGTCTATATCTTCTTGGGTTTATTAGGTGCATTGGACATAGTTGATAAGATTGTCCTCCTTTAAACACTGTCTTCACTTAGTTTCTCTTCCAAACTCATTGGTTGCTCTTTTTTAGTCCATTTTTCACCGACTGCCCTCTTAATATAAACTGACCTGGAGCTCTCTGTTTGGAAAGCTTCTATTATTTTGCTTGCATGTATGTATGCATGCAATCTCAAGTGAAATTATACCTTTGATATTCCCTATATAGCAACATTTCAAAAGTTTGAAAATCTTTTTTACATTTCACTTTTGAACTCCAGACATATTATCCAAAAGTTTATTTTGTGTGTTCCCCCCTCATATCTACTCTACATCTCACACATAACGCATTCAAAAACTAAATTTACTTCCTCCTGCTTCTCCATTTGTAAAGACTAATGTTATTTTCTAAGTTTCTCAGAACCGCAAACTTGGAGTTATCCTATGCTTTTCTCTTTGCTCTTCTTTTAGGCTCTTTCTCACAAGTGCCATGTCAAACTATTATGTCACTAAGTAATCCTGTTGATTCTACCTTCGAAATATATCCAATGTCTAGTCACTTCTGAATACCTTTACTGATAGCATCAAGATCCAAGTCACCATTATATCTTATTCGGATTACTATAGCATTTTTTCTGGGTGGCTCTTTTGCTTTCACCCCTGTCCCTTCAAAGGAAATCCTCAACTTAGCAGCCAAAATGACCCTTTGAAAATTCAGTCAAATCAGGGGAATTTTCTGCTTGAAATTGTCCTATGGCTTTCCTTCCCTACACAGCAATACAATGGCCTAGAATACTTTTTTCTGTGTCTCATAAAAACATCCATCTCTTAATTTTCTGACCTCATCTCTTACTATTTCCTGTCTTTTTATTCCATTCCAGACACTCTGCTCTGGTTGCCAATTCTCAGTCATGGAAGCTTGTGCTTACCTCAGGTTTGTTTTACTTGCAGTTTCCTTGAACTAGAACTTTCTCCCAGATATGATACAAGGAACATCTTCTTTAGTTATCTGCTCCAGTGTTGTTACATAAATGACGTTATTCTTGAACAGACTAAGTAACTCTCCCCCAACCTTCATTAGCATGTCCTATCCCATCTTCTTTGTGTAGATTTGCTTCATAGCATTCATCACAATCTTTTATAAACATATATGTTTATATATGTGTGTGTATACACACACGCACACTTCTTTATTATCCTTTGGATTAGATCATTAAAATTGATTCAAAGAAAAATCTTCTTCCCAAAATACTATTCTCAAACTCTTTTGGGAAGATCTGATTCTACCTGAATTCATTCATTGTTATCTGCATTTGGATTTTCCCCTGATACTCATTTCTAGCTCTTATTATTTACCTTTAAAGCCATCCATTACTCCTTACTTTTGCAAAATTTAAAGTTAAATTTTACCTATTTTTTCTATTGTTATTGCATTTTCCTTTGAGAATATGGCCACTTTACTGTTTCTCTTATAGTATTAGTTAATTAATACTCTTAGGCTTCCACAAATTTGAAAAATTGTAGCTGTAAATGGTTTTACAAAAATTACTTATATTGCTATTTTAGTATTTTACTTAGAATGTAGAAAGAATGCCATAACTGAAACCAGTATTAATTTAAGTAACCTTTCACAACTCTAGATAATTTTCCAGGCTTTTTAAAGACAGGCATTAAAAATAAATACACATGTGCACACACTCAACGTGTACACACACAGCCCACACACAAACATACACGAAGTAATTTTTATGAAAGTTTCTTTTGACTTCCCTTACACAATGCTTGTATTTCTTCTACCATGGGGTTTTACAATTGCTACAATCAATAGAAGTGTTTCAGATGATTATATTTAATTGTTTTCTACCAAAGTCGTCCACCATTATTTACTGATATATTTAAAGAAAATGTATTATGACATGCAATGATTCAACTTCTCAATAATTGGCACAATAAAACAAATACATTGAAAGCTAAATAAAATAATAATAAAAATGTCGTGTTGTGTAAAATTAAAAATATAACCAAACTTCATGGTTAAAAAATTGATACAACTAACAATTTATTTCATGCAGTCAACAGCAATTTAGTATGCGGCTGACTACAAAATGTTAGTCACTGACAAAAAAAGTCTATACAGAGAGAAATCTGAGTAACTTTCATGGGTATATAAATTATGAAAATAGAAATGTATGAAATGTTAAACTTTTTTTCATATTTTACAATGTGCTTTAACAATGTGTTTTATTATAGCAATCATTCTAGTCTTTATTTAATTAAATATTGAGTCAAAGCAGAGGCTCTCTATGGTAAGAAGAAAAAAAAAACAACTTTTAATTTAACTCATGTGAATGCTGGTCTTTATTCATTATTCGTTAAGTCCTTAATATGACACTGGCTTTCAATTGATGAAGTGCAGGCCTCTTTCCAAATAGTGACCACATGTTCGTGGAATGTCCAGGCCACATTGCTGTGCCACAGGTAATAATTACAACAACATTTATCCAAGTGGCTGTCTGCAAAAGAGCCATGTGTACCTTCTCCTCTCTGATCGTTATAAATGGAAAGAGACTAGAAAATTAAAGTAAAATTTCAGGGATGAAGGGACAGAACAATATATTAATCTATTTCCAGCTGGCTTAGTGTAACCACTAAGTCTTACTTTGAAGCAAGCAAAGAACCTATCCTTAGGGAGAAAAGATTTAACATAAAGGAGCATTTCATAAGTCTCTCGTCTTCCGTGGAATATTTGTTTCTTAAATTTTTCATTCTTTGTAGTAGTAGAATTTAAAGACTTCCAACTAGTCTTTGAAACTGATATGGTTTTAAAGCTGTTAGTCTCAAGTGCAGGAGTTTACATCATTATTAAAGCATTTTTTATTGTGATACACAATTTCTATAAATTACTCTGGTATTTCTATAACCAAATGTCGCCAAATATATTTTATCCCTTCACCTAAAATATTTTCCTTGCCAAAGTGTATATGTTTAACAAAAATATTATTCTTTCATATCAAAATTTTAATTCAATGCCAAGGTGAAGGCATTATCTAACATTTATATGTATAGATTATGTAATTAGACAAAACATTCAGAATAAACATTCAGGGTGAGTATCTCCCATCCCAATTTACAGTGAAGTAACTTTTGCTATTGTTGAAAATATGATACTTTTTAAACATTTCTCTGCCTTCCAAACTTTAATTTATTGAGGAGATAATTTTAAAGAATTTTTAAAGCTAATTCTAGTTTATTTTTTTAATAATATATACAGCCTTTACTTGTAAATTTATGGTAAATACACAGAAAACCAATGATAAATATCTTTTAATCTCTCTCCTATTAGTTTTTAATATTATCTCTACATAAATAACTTACAGTTTGACTATTAAAATCACACACACAAACACAGACACACATTTCATCCTATAATTGCAGCTGAAGTAATCTAATTACAGTATCAAATTTAAGTGTATGTGCTTTCTAGCAATTAGACTTTGAAAGTTCAATTTTAAGTGTATGAAACATTCATTCCAATTATCATCGAATATTGGCAAAGTCCTCTCATTTGAATGATGCTACCATTCTAAAGAGGAGAGGAGGCAGCCAGGAAGCTGCCATAAAGAGGGGAAGTGCTTTGTCTTGTAACATTGCTGAGGCTTGTGGAGTTGGGCAAAATGAGCACTGGAGTTAAATCAGCATAAATGGTTATACATATTCAACTTAAGTAAGACTTTGAATACTTATTAACCACTTTTTAAACCTATGTAATAACAAAGAAAGACTTTTTAAATTTTTAAAATTTTATAAAATTTGCTCTTGTATTTTTTTGGCTTCCTTCTCTTTAAAACAAGGAAAAGAGAATTCTTAAGTAGATTAATCCAGATTTCTACATATAAGTATTTTATATTGTTTACAGACTTTATAGAAGCTTACATATATGTTTTTCCTTTTGTATTTCCTTCTCCTTTCTTTTTCGTGTAATTAATTCTTACTCATGGGTGTCAGTCTTACAGTAAAAAAGAAAAATGAAATTGTTATATGTCTTAATTTGATTCCAACTTGTCACCTCAGTCATACTTCATGATGTGACTAAGCCTTAATTAAGTTGGGTGGTGTGTAGGAATATTAATAACTACCTGTATAAAAAATAAAATACCCCTTTACAAATTAGGGCTTCAGAAATATTTCGCATCTTACAATCAATTCTGTTCCTTGAAAATTGTGGAACTAGTAACTTTTAACTATTGTTTCCCAAGCAGTATACAATAAGATTCTTTCTGTTCCTTTTCAACATGTCATCATTTTGAATGCCTGTGACAGCTTTGTGCAATACTTGTACTTGCTTACAATTTTATTATTTTTATTAAACAATAGGGGAAACAAGAAGAATCCTAGATGTCTCAATGAGATGAAGAATTGCCTACTGTTTATCACCCTGACCCAGTCTTTCTCCCCAAGACAAGGTAATGAAAAAGATAATATCACCTCCTTGCTTTTAAGAAACCCGAAGTAATCCTCATGAAGTTTGGCTATGAAAAGCACTCATGGGTTCTGAACATTTGGAATAAAAAAGAAAAATATCTTCAGTAGAAGGCTAAAGATAATATTTGAATATTTTTACATATTATCTCAGGTAGAAAAAACGGAATTCCAAAATAACCTCTTGAAAGATCTCTTCAGGAACAGAAATTTTTATATCATTCTTTAAAAAATAACCCATGTAGACTTCACTCAGAAAAAGGCATTATCCATTACTTTTTACAAGGTTATTAAAACACTTTCTCCTAGGATTCCTATGGGTCCCTCATGAGATAATGTAATTGAAAATATCTAGCTGATGCTTGACACATAGAAGGCACTCAAATACTAGTTTATGTCTCCATGATCAACTGAGATATTCACTTCTTTGCACAAACATTCAGGAAATACTGGTTTTTTATGCTTTACTTATTTTAAAATATATGCCATCACTTCATTCTGAAGTCAGAAGACACACTGTATGACCAACTCTTTTTAAAAATGAAAAAAAGGTCAAGCCATGAAATCTAAGTGAATAATTAGGAAAACCCTGAGTTAGAAAAACTGTTATTTTTCTAATTATTGGCCTTGAATCAGTTTTTAGCCTTGTCCCTTTTTCTTGATTTATCAGTCTCACAACACCGGGAACCTATTCTATGTCTGGAACCTCTATAGTGTCCTGCATAGCTTGCAATACACGTGCCCATTTACTATTTTCTAGTAAGTATTAAGCTAATGGTACATAAAATAATGCTAAGATTGTGCCTTTGGATTCTTGAGGAAATAGAACAATGGAACTATCCTCAAAAACAGGAGTATCAGGAGTGGGTGGGAAGAAGGCAATCACGCCAGAAAGAAAAAAATATAGGAATTCTGCCTAGCATTGTGATATTATATGCATTTTTGGGAAATACAGTTTTTTTATTTTTCTCCAGTAAAAATACATGTCTCTGTAAATAACGTGTCCAGAATTATTTCTATATTATTCTTTTCTAAAACAGTAAACAAATGAACTAAGGCAAATATATTGAAGTTTTTATTAGCTCCCCTGCTTGATCCTTATATATAAGCTTCTGCTGTTTCTTTTAAGTCCTCAATATGTGGGCTGCCCTGTTGCTTTTCAAAGAACCTTCTTATAATAGAAAATGTTTAATTGAAATCAGCATAATTAAGTAAAAGGGGCTGGGCGCGGTGGCTCATGCCTATAATCCCAACACTTTGGGAGGCCGAGGCTGGCAGATCACGAGGTCAGGAGATCGAAACCATCCTGGCTAACACAGTGAAATCCCATCTCTACTAAAAATACAAAAAATTAGCCCGGCGTGGTGGTGGGCACCTGTAGTCCAAGCTGCTCGGGAGGCTGAGACAGGAGAATGGCTTGAACCCGGGAGGCGGAGCTTGCGGTGAGTGGAGATTGCACCACCGCACTCCAGCCTGGGCGACAGAGCGAGACTCTATCAGAAAAAAAAAAAAAAAGAAAGAAAGAAAAGAAAAAAAAGGGAATTTATTCCTACTCACTTTTATTAGCATCTGTATAACAATTATTTTATACCCATCGAGCACTAAAATGTTGACTTAAATCACTTTTACAGTTTTCTATAAACGGCAGTACTCACCTTGCTTTAAATATATAAAATGAGTCAATTATTTATTGAAATTGCAAGTTCTTTGAGGTTGAAGGGTTTCATAAAATTTTTCTAATAGCTTCACTGGTTGGAACAAAATGTTATACTCTAAATATTCAGTTCTTAGAAGATGATGGAAATTTCCAAAAAAAAATGTCAATATTCTGATTAAAATTGGTGGGCAAAAGAGCTTCTGCTTTGAAAACCATGCCTATGTAATTAGTGGGAAAAAAAGATATTTTATATTCTTGGCTCTCTGTGCCTCTCAAGTGAACATATGGAACTCAATATGGGATTAAATCAAATACTGAATGTGCAATAACTCTCCTCTACCTCAGTTTTTCTCTTTCAATCTATTTATTTTCCTTTTAACCCAGATTGAATCTCTCCATATGCCGGTTCACATTTTAAAATAGCAACACGTTCTCTTAGATTGCTTTTATGTTACGCTAAAAATCCTAGGGTAAATGTCATTAACTGTAGTTTTAACCATTAATCTCAGCCCCTCATTATACAATAGATTTTCTATAGAATTTTCTCTATATTTGTAATTATGACTAATTTAACTCTCAATAAGGAAAACTTTTCAGAATCCTTTAAGTGTCATGATTTATCTTAAGCAATACTAACCAGCAAGAGGGAAACTTGAAGTAGTAATAGTTGGAGGTCAAGCCAAATGTTAATTTGCCTACTTATAACTTTTGTTAAAGTTATAACAAAGAAATTGTATTTGAATAAAAGTTATATATCTGTTTAAAGTATTGAAGTCTAAGAAAAGACAGTAATGTAAGCACAAAAGAGAATAAAGGAAAATTACTTTTAATGGCAAAAACTACAATAAGTTTTGCACCAACCTAATAGCTGTTTTGATTGTTATATGATAATATCAAATGACATTGAAATAAAATTAGCAATTTTGGAAGTATTGTGTGACTACATAATTTTGCTGCACTAATGTAGATACACAAATTATATATATTTTATGTATGTTATTGATAATATTTCATTCTGCATACTTAAACCTGCTGTACAAAAATGTACAAGGTGTACTTTATTGCTTGGAAAAACATATGCAGCTACTGTTTCTTTAAAAATAAAACAAATGAATGTATAAATTTAAGTTCTTCAACAGGTGTTAAAGGGGGACCCCATATTTCAGGGTTCTTCTACAAAAACTTATTTCTACCTAGGCTTCAGATCTTATAAATATCAGCTCCCAGGAGAATATAATATAATACACTCCATTGAAATACCAGACCCAGAGAGCTAACCAGAAAAATTTTATGAAATTTTTACTCAAACAAAGGCACATACCAACATAAATATCAAGCAAACAATCGAACACTCAGGAAGTACTGACAGGTAAACAAATATGTGAACTTATTTGGCAGGAGATGACAGAATCTTTAACTGAATAAATAAATTACTCTAGAAGGCTCATGCACTGATTACAGAAATGGGACCAGGTGAATCAGTTTATTGCCCTCTTCTTCAACCTGTGTTGTAGGCCAATCAAATTGAGCTCTCAATGCTAAACTCTTAACAAACATTAGTGCACAGTTGGGTACAGAAGGAAATGATAAAAGTATGAACACACTTCTGTCTGTTTTATTCTTGCTCACTTGACCTCAAGACAACAGGTAATCAAAATTGATTGTAATGTTCCTTAGAATTGTGACCTGTGGAAAGCAATATATTAGCAATATTATGTTGATGGCATGTCTTGGTGTATGACTTCTCCTCTTCTGGAACCTCATTTTCAAATCTGGCTTTGCAGTGATTAAGTTGGATTGCTTTTCACCATAAACATTTACATCTTGCATACGATAGCCACTCCATCCCCCAAACCAGAGCTTAGCTCTTTTGGAGTGCTGTGCCTCTCCTGTCATGGTAAGGCACTGCCCCATTAATTCATGTCTTCAACGCTGTTAAGACAGCAGGGGTAGAGACAGACTTCCCTTTGGCTTCTTTACTCTGAAAGCACACTCAGAGGAGCAAACTGTGTGTATCTGTATGTCTGTGCAAACTAAATTATTAGTTAAATTTCTTAGAAGACTTAAAGATAAATTCAGGAATCTTAAATAGCAAAACATTATTGTAAACAGGAAATTCTACCCAGTATTAAATTAATTCTAACTATATAACACATTACCAAGACATATTGATATCTCAATATTTAGTCTGTGTCTCATTTCCAAACTGAAATGATAATAAAAAATATTTTATACCTAGATAGTTATTTGCATTCCTTTCCTTCTAAAGTGAAATAATCAGAAACAGAATTTAAAGGACTTTCACACATTAATAAGTGCACTCAGAAAAATAGATAAAAACATAACTTCTTAATGTTGAAATCAGGAAAAAAGTCTCTAGAGAAGCTATGTAGTCCCTTATATCATATGTTATTAAAAGTTTGAAGTTATTTCTTAAGCAAATTTATTATTAAGAGGCATGTTTTGAAAAGGGAGTAGGGCAAATATGAAATAAAAGAACAAAGCATTAGTTCAAAAAGGATTCATTTGACTGGAAACCTAGAATTATTAAGTTAAATACTTCCTCTTGGAGTTTATCAAGTATACTTTCTGGAATTGTAAATTACTTACACTCTCTATGATGAAACTAGCTCATCACTAGCCATTCTAGAGACAAATCATAGATGAATGTTGTCTTATGTACATTTCAAGATAGAGTAAAATTTTGCCAATATAAAGAGATTTCCAAGTCATCAATAGCTCTCAACTAGTTAGTGTCATAACAAAATTATCAACAATTTACACTCAGCACCATTCCCATTACTAGATATTTGGGATTGCTGTGTTTTTGCAAACACCCACACAGCAGGAGGCCTATGCTACTTTATGATCTAATCAGTTGAATGGTAGTTTGGAATTAAATTAATGCATAATAAGGTTAGCAATTGTATTCTTTTTTTGAGCTCTACAGATTGCCTAATTCTGATAAAATCTATGACATTCTTATGTTTGAATTATTATATGTAAATAATTCTAGTTGCATGTGTATTGAGCATGATTATTTTCTTTTTTTTTTTTTTTTTTTTTTTTTGTGAGAGAGTGTCCCGCTCTGTCACCCAGGTTGGAGTGCAGTGGCCTGATCTCGGCTCACTGCAAGCTCTGCCTCCCATGTTCACGGAATTCTCCTGCCTCAGCCTCCCGAGTAGCTGGGACTACAGGCGTCTGCCACCACACCGGGCTAATTTTTTGTATTTTTAGTAGAGACAAGGTTTCACCCTGTTAGCCAGGATGGTCTCAATCTCCTGACCTCGTGATCCGCCCGCCTCAGCCTCCCAAAGTGCTGGGATTACAGGAATGAGCCACCGCGCCCGGCCTATTTTCAAATCATAATTTATGTATATTACTTATGTTTTTATTAGTTATAATTCTACTTACATAGTAATGCAATTTTACTAGCAATACATTAGTATCATGGAAACATGTTTTTCAAACTCTCTTCTAAGGATATACCTTAATTGTAAGGTTATTTAGAAATTAATTTCTCATCGACAGTTCATAGAAATATCTGACATAAATGGAAACATCATTATTTAGAAAAAGTTAATTTTCTTGTGTAATTTATAAATTGAGTAAATGTAAAAATGATATTTAGAATTCTTATTCAGAGATAATATCTAATCTCTTTCAGAAATTAAAAACTGCGTCTGGGTAGAAGCAAACATCTGAAATCAGAAGGCACACAATAAACTTGAAATTCTCCATTCCTCTTATTTCTTACAAAGCTGTTTTGACATTTGGAGAAAAACCTAAGCAGGAAAAAAAGCATAGGATTGTAATCAAGTCAATGGATAATATTCACCCAAGTCATTATAAAAGTAGTGCTAGACCTTCTGAGTTTGCATTTCAGCATATATGTATGAGGCATCTATTCCGAAATAGCTCAAAGGTGGCTTTTCTTTTTTGTAGAGACATCATATTGCACAAAATCTTGAGTATGACTCTTTTGATTATGTCAAGGGGAAATAAGAATATTTTAAGAACCCTTCTCTGAAGATTTATAACGCACATTAGCTTGATAAAATTGCTGAAATACATGTTGTTTAGAAATCTGTTAAGTGCTGTTTAATCCAACATTTCCTAAACACATTTTCTAACAATTTTACATTCTACGCAAAATCTCTCAAGGCCTTGATCATTTCCAAACTCTTTAGGAAGCACTACTTTAGAAAATAATTTCCACAAATATTTCAGAAGCTACTCAAAGAAAGTGCATTTAGAAATGACGCAGCTGTATTCTTAGTGAGATTATTTGCCTTTTTCTAAATGTATAAATAGTTCCTGGGTTAAAAATGCAATCTAAATAAAATATAAAAATGCAACCCCCTTTTTTCAAGATGGCTGACTGGAGACATCAGAGGCCAGTTCTCTTTAGAAAGAACCAAAGTTACAGGTGAATAATTACAACTGAAATAGATTAAGGGGAGAGTGCTCACAGGAATAAAACAGGACACAGAAAAAAGAAGGAAGCAAGGGTGTGACAGAGATTGAATCCCGAGGCACCTAGCGTGCTGTGGAAAGGCTAGATAGCAGTGTCCTTGACTCCCCCTCACCCCTGTGGCAGACTGCTGGTCTCCAAACTGTCAAAAGTCTCCTTTACCCCTGTGAGCCCAGGCACTGGTGTAGGAGGTAATTTGGGAAATTTTTGGAGGGCAATGCACTACACAACCAGCTCTCACAGGATCATCCACCCTTCCCCTACATCCGAGCTGCAGCAGTAGGCATCATACTGGGTGCACACACATTGTGGAAAGTTGTCTTGCCCAGGGAATCTCAGCCCTTGTGTGTCCACATTACCAAATCCCTGAGATACTCTCCAGTGCCCATTTGTATTCCAGCAACCACACGGGGTCACTGGACCCAGGGGAGCTGTGAAACTACTGGTGGTCTGGCCCTTGTGGTGTGATGCTCCTATTGGAAGATAGACTGCAGGGTGCAAAGGAAGTGCCCCTTGGTTCAAAGGAAATCAGAGCACCTGCTCTCTTGTGCCTGAGAGTTCCCCACTGTGGACTGGATGTGATTGTACTCCTTCCAGCAGAGATATGAGTGGAGAAGTGTGGTTTCACCCAAGGGGCCAGGTGGCACCAGTGCTCAGGCACAGTAGTGGAGAGGGAGACTCCTCCCTTCTCCATGCACACTGAAGATAACACAGCTGTGGCTGCTTACACAGGGTGGGCAGACTTGTGTCTCTGAAGAGGGCCATTCCAGGGCTATTAGGTGGGTGGCAGCACCCCTTTTGGCAATGGGCCTACCAGGCCTATTTTTGCAGAAAAGTAGGGGCCTTTCTCCTCTCTACATGGAGCAGCAGCGTCTCTGCAGCATAGAACAAGTGAGCCACAGAGCTGTCTTTGGGGCTGAGGGAAGAGACTCCATCTTGAAGCCATTTTGACACAGCTTCGGGACAGGTGTGTTCTGTGGCTCTCAGGTACATTGTGTCCTAGAGATATACTGCAGTGTCTGTCTGAACTGAAAGATGCGAGCCCCAGGACAGGGGTGTGATAGGGAAGCCAATGGCGTTCCTGCCTTCCCATGACGTGGAGTTGGTATAGCCATGTCCCCCCAAACAGAGACCTCAGCTCATTTCACCAGGAACTCCCCCTGCCACCCTCCACAGGGATGGTGCTTATGCTCCTCACTGATGTATAACCAAGCTTCATCTCCCATCCTGAGGGTGAGCAGAGAACTCAGGACACAGGGCATTCCACAGACAAGCCTATGGCATGAGGCAACAGAGAGCTCCCCCAAGTAAACAAAGATCAGGTTTATACCCATCATCCTCTTCCACAGCTGTCTGTCACCTGCAATCACCACCTACTGGCCTGCAGTAGAACTGCATTACCCAATACAAAATTTGCAGCCAGGCGTGGTGGCTCACGCCTGTAAACCCAGCACTTTGGGAGGCCCAGGCGGGTGGATCACGAGGTCAAGAGATTGAGACCATCCTGGCCAACATAGTGAAACCCCGTCTCTACTAAAAAATACAAAAATTAGCTGGGCATGGTGGCACGTGCCTATAGTCCCAGCTACTCAGGAGGCTGAGGCAGGAGAATCACTTGTACCCAGGAGGCAGAGGTTGCAGTGAGCCAAGATCACGCCACTGCACTCCAGCCTGGCAACAGAGCGAGATTCTGTCAAAAAAACAAACAAAAAAAAAAACAAAATTGCTGAGGCCAGTGTATAATGCTTGGGAGGAAGATAAGCTTGTTGAGACCTCCACCTCCCCATCCCTGAAGTAAGCTGAGAGCTTCTGCACCAGCCTAGTGCTCTGCTACTGTAACTAACATTTGAGGAAAGCACCAAACGAAGGCTGTCTATAACCAAGGAATTTAACAAAGTCATGGCCCCAGAAAGCATGTAAAAGCAAACTCCAATGACCCCATTTGTCATATATTATAGTCACAACCTCAGGAAAAATTTTCATCCAAATGAAAGTAAATTCAAAAATAAGTGACAGCTTCTCTAGATGAGAATAAACCAGCATAACAATCCTGGCAATGCAGTAAGAGCAGGAGACTTCAGCACTCAACTGACAGCACCAGACAGATCATCAAGGCAGAAAAGCAACAAAGAAACTCTGGACTTAAATTGGACTCTAGACTAAGTAGACCTAACAGCATTTACGTAACATTCTAACCTACAACCACAGAATATGTATTTTTCTCATCAGCAGATAAAATATTCTTATAAATGTACCCTATGAAAGTCTACAAGGCAAGTTTCAATAAATTTTTAAAAGTCAAAATCATATCAAACATCTTCTTGCATAACAGTGGAATAAAACTAGAAATGAATATTAGGAGGAACTCTCAAAACTACGGAATTGTAAAATTTGTCCCTAAATAATCTTTGGATAAACCCAGATAAAAATAGAGATACAGCCTTTGGTATATGGAAAAGCAGTATGAGGAAAGTTTATAAGGTTAAATGAGTACATCAAAAAAGTAGAAAAAGATCTCAAGTTAACAATGAAACATTGCACCTGAAGGAACTGGAATAGTAAGAACAAACAAAACCCAAAGCTAGAAGAAGAATGGAAATAACAAAGATCAAATCAAAAGTAAGTAACATTGAGATCAAAAAGCAATACAAAGGATCAAGAAAAAGATATATAAAATTGATAGGCCACTAGCTAGATTAACCAAGAAACAAAGAAGATTCAAATAAGCACAATCAGAAACAATAGAGGTGACATTACAACTGATACCACAGAAATAAAAAAGATTATCGGAGAAAACTATGAGCTTCTCTAAATGCACAAACTAGAAAATCTAGAGGAAATGGATAAACTCCTGGAAACATAGACACTCTCAAGATTGAACAAGGAGTAAGCAGAACTCCTAAAGAGACCAGTAACTTAAATTGAATTAGTAATAATAGTAAAGAAGTCTCCCAACAGAAAAAAGCTCAGGACCAAATTTACAGCCAAATCCTACCATGTGTACAAAGAAGAACTGGTATCAATCCTAATGAAATGGTTTCAAAAAGTTAAAGAGGAGAGAATCCTTCTTGACTCATTCTACAAGGACAGTATTGCCTGAATACCAAAGTTGAGTAAGGGCACAACATAAAAAGAAAACTAAAGGCCGATATCCCTGAGGAACATAGATGCAAAAATCCTCAACAAAAATACTAACTAACAAGCTACATTAAACAGCACATCAAAAAGATAAGACGCCATGATCAAGTGGGCTTTATTCCAGGGATACAAGGATGGTTCAACATATGCAAATAAATAAATGTGATTCATCACATAAAGAGAATTCAAAAGAAATCTATATGATCATCTCAAGTGATGCATAAAAAGCATTCAATATAAAAAACCCTCAACTAATTAAACATTGAAGGAGCATACCTCAAAATAATAAAAACCACATATGACAGACAAATCAACAGTCAACATCGTAATGAATGAGAAAAGTTAAAAGCCTTCCCCCTAATAACTGGAATAAGACAAAGATGCCCACTTTTACCACTCCTATTCAAAATGATACTGCAAGTCCTATCCAGAACAATCAGGCAAGAGAAAGTAATAAAAGACACCCATATTGAAAAAGAAAAAGTCAAGTTATCTCTGTTCACTGGTGATATGATCTTATACCTATAAAGCCCTAAAGACTCCTCCAAAAGACTTCTAGATTTGCTAAATGACTTCAGTAAACTTTTAGGACTCAAAATCAATGTACAAAAATCAGTAGCATTTCTATACACCAATAATGAGAAGCAAATCAAGAATTCAACCCTATTTACAATAGCTTCAAAAAAATTAAATACCTAATAATACATTTAATCAAGGTGAAAAATCTCTAGAGGGAGAATTGCAAAATACCCATGAGTGTATTTGTAGATAACACAAATGAATGGAAAAACATCTCATGTTATGGAACAAAAGAATCAATATCATTAAAATGACCATCTTGCCCAAAGCAATCTGCAGACTTCATGCAGTCCCTATCAAACTAGCAATGTAATTTTTCCCAGAATTCAAGAAAATAATTCTAAAGTTCATATGGAACCAAGAAACAGCCAAAGCAATCCTAAGCACAAAGTAGAAAGCTAGAGCCATCACATTACCTGACTTCAAATTTTATGACAAGGCTATGGTAACCAAAATAGCATGGTACTGATATAAAAATAGATATCTAGATCAATGGAACAGAACAGATAACCCAGAAATAAAGCCACCTCCCACAATCAACCAATCTTCAACAAAGTTGACACAAATATGCCTTGGGAAAAGGACACCATTTTCAATAAATGGTGCTGGGAAAAATTGGATAGCCATAGGCAGCATAATATAACTGGACACCTATCTCTCATCATATACAAAAATTAACTCAAAATGGATAGAAGACTTAAATGTAAGACCTGAAACTATAAAAATCCTAGAGGAAAACCTAAGAAAAACTCTTCTGGTTATTGGACTAGGCAAAGAATTGAAGATCTCAAAACAAGGGCATCAAAAACAAAAACAAAAAATAGACAAATGAGACTTAATTAAACTTAAAAGCTTTTGCACCACAAAAGAAATAATGAATACAGTAAACAGACAATCTACCAAATGGGAAAAAATATTTGCATACCATGCATCTGACCAAGGGGTAATATCCAGAATCTACAAGGAACTCAACAACAACAAATAATTCCATTGTAAAGTGAGCAAAGGACGAGAACAGACATTTTTCAATAGAAGACATAAAAGTGGCCAGCAAACATATGAGAAAATATTCAATATCACTTTTTATCAGAGTAATGAAAGTCAAAACCACAATGAGATACCATCTTACATCAGTCTCAGGGACTATCATTAAAAAGTCAAAAAAACAACAGATATTGGCCAAGATGTGGAGAAAAGGAAACACTTACATACTGTTGATTGGAATGTAAATTAGCACAACCTCTACGGAAAACAGTATGGAGATCTCTCAAACAACTAAAGATAGACTTACCATTTGATTTAGCAATCCCACTACTGGGTATCTACCCAAAGGAAAAGAAATTATTATATAAAAAAAGTCACCTGCACTCTCGTATGTTTGTCATAGCGTTATTCACAATAGCAAAGTTGTAATATCAACCTAATAGTCCACCAAAGAATGATCAGATTTTAAAAAGTGGCACATACACACAATGGAATACTACTCAGTCATAAAAAAGAAGAAAATCACGTCTTTTGCTACAATGTGGATGGAACTGAAGGCTATAATCTTAAGTGAAGTAACTCAGAAACAGAAAGCCAAATATTGTATGTTCTCACTTATAAGTGGAAGCTAAACAATAGATACACATGGACCTACAGAGTGTAATAATAGACTTTGAAGACTCCAAAAAGTGAAAGGGTGGGAGAGGGGTAAGGGAAGAGAGATTAACTCATCCCTTTATTGGGAATATTTATTATTATATTGGGTATATTATCATTGGCTATATTATTTTTGGGTATATTATTGGATATGTATCATTATATTGGTATAATATACTATTGGGTATATTTTAAATATATTATCATTATATTTATTTATTATTGTATTGGGTATAATGTACAATATTTAGGTTACATTTACATTAAAAGCCCAGACTTCATTACACAGTAGATCTATGTAAAAAAATGCACTTGTATCCCCTAAATGTATAAAAATAAAAATAAAATAAAATTGCAATCTTAAAGGAAATAGATGACATACTATACTTAAAACATGTAGTAAGTTGTATATGACATATTGATTATGTATTACTATTCTGAGCATAATATATTTTATTTTACCTAATATATCAAAAATATTTCGATGTGCAATCAATATAAAGTATTGAGATATTTAAAATCATTTTTCAAACTATGTTTTCAAAATGTAGTGTTTATTTTCACATTTACAGCACATCTCAATCCAGCATAGCCACATTTCAAGGGCTTGATAGCCACTTGTGATTAGTGGTTATTGGGCAGCTAATCTCTGCTTTATGCAGCTATCCATTTTATTTACATGCTTAAAAATTAAACTGTTCTTCAATCACATTAATTTTTTGATAAATTGAAAACAAATAGTAGCTTCAGAAATATTTTCAAAAATTGATACATACATACTGAAATTTAACCTTATTCTGATATAATTTATATATACTAAAATGCATTATGCTAAGAGTATAGTTCTATTAGATGACCAAAGTATGAAGGCATGTCACTATCACTGTATTCAAATACAGAAAATTTCCATTACTCCAGAATGTTCTGTTGGGTATCTCTGCAGTCACCCACCTCTTCAAGTTCCAGGCAACCACTAATAGGTTTCCTGTCATTCCGAATTAATGCTGCCTAATATAGAATTATATATAGAATTTTTATAGACTATATATGGAATTATATACCCAATACATATTTTGTTCTGTCTTCTTTTGCTCAGCATACCATTTTTCAAGATTCCTTTATGCTGTGTGTAACAATAGTTTATTCTCCTCTAAGGTTGAACAATATTTCATTATACGAATATATCACAATTTGTTTATCTGTTCACCTGCTGTTGAACATCTGTGTTTTATCCAATTTTAGGCTCTTTTAATAAATCTGTTATGAGCATTTTTGCAAAAGTCTTTTTGTGGATTCACATTTTCGTTTTCCCTGAGTAACTACCTAGGAGTGATATGGCTGGGATATAAAAGTAAGGACATGTTTAAAGTTATAAGAAATGGACAATCTGTATTCCAAATTGGTTGTACCATAACTAAGAACAGCAAATAAAAACTCTATTTGCTCCACATCCTTGGTATCTCTTGGTATGGTCAGTCATTAAAATTTTAAGCCATTCTAATGGGTTTACAGTGCTAATCCATAATGACAAAAGATGCTGATCACTTTGGGAGGTGCTGATTGATCATTTGATATCTTGGTTTGTGAAGTGTCTGCTGAAATCATTTGTCCATTTTCTTAATGGAGTTAGTTTCTGTATATACTTTGGATATAAGTATATGTTGCTAATATTTTCTTTTTAAATTTTTTAAATTATACTTTAAATTCTAGAGTACATGCGCACAATGTGCAGGTTTGTTACATAAGTATACATGTGCCATGTTGGCTTGCTGTACCCAATCAACTCATCATTTACATTACGGATTTCTCCAAATGCTATCCCTCCTCCAACCCCCCACCCCCTGATAGGCCCCGGTATGTGATGTTCCCCTTCCTGTGTCCATGTGTTCTTATTGTTCAATTCCCACCTATGAGTGAGAACATGTGGTGTTTGGTTTTCTTTGGTTTTATCTTGTGATAGTTTGCTGAGAATGATGGTTTCCAGCTTCATCCATGTTCCTGCAAAGGACATGAACTCATCCTTTTTTACAACTGCATAGTATTCTATGGTGTATATGTGCCACATTTTCTTAATCCAGCCTATCATTAATGGACATTTGGGTTGGTTCCAAGTCTTTGCTATTGTGAATAGTGCTGCAATAAACATACGTGTGCATGTGTCTTTATAGTAGCATGATTTATAATCGTTTGGGTGTATACCCAGGAATGTGATCACTGGGTCAAATGGTATTTCTCATTCTAGATCCCTGAGGAATCGCCAAACTGTCTTCCACAATGGTTGAACTAATTTACACTCCCACCAACAGTGTAAAATAGTTCCTATTTCTGCACATCCTCTCCAGCATCTGTTGTTTCCTGACTTTTTAATGATCACCATTCTAACTGGCATGAGATAGTATCTCATGGTGGTTTTGATTTGCATTTCTCTGGTGACCAGTGATGATGAGCATTTTTTCATGTGTCTGTTGGCTCCATAAATGTCTTCTTTTGAGAAGTGTCTGTTCAAATACTTTGCCCACTTTTTGATGGGGTTGTTGTTTTCTTGAAAATTTGTTTATGTTCTTTGTAGATTCTGGTTATTAGCCCTTTGTCAGATGTGTAGATTGCAAAAATTTTCTCCATTCTGTAGGTTGCCTGTTCACTCTGATGATAGTTTATTTTGCTGTGCAGAAGCTCTTTAGTTTAATTAGATTCCATTTGTCTATTTTGACTTTTGTTGCCATTGCTTTTGGTGTTTTAGTCATGAAGTCTTTGCCCATGCCTATGTCCTGAATGGTATTGCCTAGGTTTTTTTCTAGGGTTTTTATAGTTTTAGGTCTTACATTTAAGTATTTAATCCATCTTGAGATAATTTTTGTATAAGGTATAAGAAAGGAATCCAGTTTCAGCTTTCTACATATGGCTAGCCAGTTTTCCCAGTACCATTTATTAAATAGGGAATCCTTTCCCCATTGCTTGTTTTTGTCAGGTTTGTCAAAGATCAGATGGTTGTAGATGTGTGGTATTATTTCTGAGGCCTCTGTTCTGTTCCATTGGTCTATGTATCTGTTTTGGTATCAGTACCATGCTGTTTTGGTTACTGTAGCATTGTAGTGTAGTTTGAAGTCAGGTAGTGTGATGCCTCCAGCTTTGTTCTTTTTGCTTAGGATTGTCTTGGCTATGAGGGCTCTTTTTTGGTTCCATATGAACTTGAGAGTAGTTTTTTCCAATTCTGTGAAAACAGTCATGGGGAGCTTGATGGAGATGGCATTGAATCTATAAATTACCTTGGACAGTATGGCCATTTTCATGATATTGATTCTTTTTATCCATAAGCATGGAATATTCTTCCATTTGTTTGTGTCCTCTTTTATTTCTTTGAGCAGTGGTTTGTATTTCTCCTTGAAGAGGTCCTTCACCTCCCTTGTAAGTTGGATTCCTAGGTATTTTATTCTCTTTGTAGCAATTGTGAATGGGAGTTCACTCATGATTTGGCCCTCTGTTTGTCTGTTATTGGTGTATAGGAATGCTTGTGATTTTTGCACATTGGTTTTGTATCCTGAGACTTTGCTGAAGTTGCTTATCAGCTGAAAGCCATTTTGGGCTGAGACAATGGGGTTTTCTAAATACACAATCATGTCATCTGCAAATAGGGAAAATTTGACTTCCTATTTTCCTAATTGAATACGCTTTATTTCTTTCTCTTGCCTGATTGCCCTAGCCAGAACTTCCAACACTATGTTGAGTAGGAGTGGTGACAGAGGGCATCCTTGTGTTGTGCCGGTTTTCAAATGGAATGCTTCCAGCTTTTGCCCATGCAGTATGATATTGGTTGTGGGTTTGTCATACATAGCTCTTATTATTTTGAAATACGTTCCATCAATGCTTAGTTTATTGAGAGTTTTTAGCATGAAGGGCTGTTGAATTTTATCAAAGGTATTTTCTGCATCTATCGAGATAATCATGTGGTTTTTGTCATTGGTTCTGTTTATGTGATGGATTACGTTTATTGATTGCCATATGTTGAACCAGCCCTGCATCTCAGGGATGAACCAACTTGATCCTGGTGGATAAGCTTTTTGATGTGCTGCTGGATTCGGTTTGCCAGTATTTTATTGAGGATTTTCACATCAATGGTCATCAGGGATATTGGCCTAAAATTCTCTTTTTTTGTTGTGTCTCTGCCAGGCTTTGGTATCAGAATGATGCTGGCCTCATAGAATGAGTTAGGGAGGATTCCCTCTTTTTCTATTGATTGGTATAGTTTCAGAAGAAATGGTATGAGCTCCTCTTTGTACCCCTGGCAGAAGTCGGCTGTTAGTTCGTCTGGTCCTGGACTTTTTTTGGTTGGTAGGCTATTAATTATTGCCTCAATTTCAGAACCTGTTATTGGTCTATTCAGAGATTCAACTTCTTCCTGGTTTAGTCTTTGGAGGGTGTATGTTTCCAGGAATTTATCCATTTCTTCTAGATCTTCTAGTTTATTTGCCTAGAGATGTTTATAGTATTCTCCGATGATAGTTTGTATTTCTGTGGGATCGGTGGTGATATCCCCTTTATCATTTTTTATTGCATCTATTTGATTCTTCTCTCTTTTCTTCTTTATTAATCTTGCTAGAAGTCTATTTGGTTTATCCTTTCAAAAAACCAGCTCCTGGATTCATTGATTTTTTGAAGGATTTTTTATGTCTCTATCTCCTTCAGTTGTGCTCTGATCTTAGTTATTTCTTGCCTTCTGCTAGCTTTTGAATTTGTTTGCTCTTGCTTCTCTGGTTCTTTTAATCATGATGTTAGGGTGTCGATTTTAGATCTTTCTTGCTTTCTCTTGTGGGCATTTAGTGCTATAAATTTCCCTCTACACGCTGCTTTAAATGTGTCCCAGATATTCTGGTACATTGTGTCTTTGTTCTCATTCGTTTCAAACAACATCTTTATTTCTGCCTTCATTTCGTTATTTAACCAGTCGTCATTCAGGAGCAGGTTGTTCAGTTTCCATGTAGTTGTGCAATTTTGAGTAAATTTCTTAATCCTAAGTTCTAATTTGATTGCACTGTGGTCTGAGAAACAGATTGTTGTGATTTCTGTTCGTTTACATTTGCTGAGGAGTGTTTTACTTCCAATTATGTGGTCAATTATAGAATAAGTGCAATGTGATGCTGAGAAGAATGTATATTCTGTCGATTTGGGGTGGAGAGTTTTGTAGAATTCTATTAGGTCCACTTGGTGCAGAGCCGAGTTCAAATCCTGGATATCCTTGTTAACCTTCTGTCTCATTGATCTTTCTAATATTGACAGTGGGGTGTTAAAATCCCCCATTATTATTGTGTGGGAGTCTAAGTCTCTTTGTAGGTCTCTAAGGACTTGCTTTATGAATCTGGGTGCTCCTTTATTGAGTGCATATATATTTAGGATAGTTAGCTCTTCTTGTTGAATTGATCCCTTTACCATTATGTAAAGGCCTTCTTTGTCTCTTTTGATCTTTGTTGGTTTAAAGTCTGTTTTATCGGAGACTAGGATTGCAACCTCTGCTTTTTTTAGTTTTCCATTTGCTTGGTAGATCTTCCTCCATCCTTTTATGTTGAGCCAATGTGTGTCTCTTCACGTGAGATAAGTCTTCTGAATACAGCACACTGATGGATCTTGACTCTTTATCCAATTTGCCAGTCTATGTCTTTTAATTGGGGCATTTAGCCCATTTACATTTGAAGTTGATATTGTTATGTGTGAATTTGAGCCTGTCATTATGATGCTAGCTGGTTACTTTGCCCATTAATTGATGTCATTTCTTCATATCGATGGTCTTTACACTTTGGCATGTTTTTGCAGTGGCTTATACTGGTTGTTCCTTTCCATGTTTAGTGCTTCCTTCAGGAACTCTTATATGGCAGGCCTGGTGGTGACAAAATCTCTCAGCATTTGCTTGTCTGTAAAGAATTTTATTTCTCCTTCATTTATGAAGCTTAGTTTGGCTGGATATGAAATTCTGAGTTGAAAATTCTTTTCTTTAAGAATGTTGAATATTGGCTCCGACTCTCTTGAGGCTTGTAGGGTTTCTGCCGAGAGATCCTCTGTTAATCTGATGGGCTTCTCTTTGTGGGTAACTCGACCTTGCTCCGTGGCTGCCTTTAATATTTTTTCCTTCATTTCAACCTTGGTGAATCTGACAATTATGTGTCTTGGGGTTGCTCTTCTCGAGGAGTATCTTTGTGGTGTTCTCTGTATTTCTTGAATTTGAATGTTGGCCTGCCTTGCTACATTGGGGAAGTTCTCCTGGATAATATCCTGAAGAGTGTTTTCTAACTTGGTTCCATTCTCCCCATCACTTTCAGGAACACCAATCAAACGTAGATTTGGTCTTTTCACATAGTCCCATATTTCTTGGAGGCTTTGTTCATTTCTTTTTACTCTATTTTCTCTAATCTTGTCTTCTCACTTTATTTCATTAATTTGATCTTCAATCACTGATCTCCTTTCTTCCACTTGATTGAATCGCCTATTGAAGCTTGTGCATACATCACGAAGTTCTCGTGCTGTGTTTTTCAGCTCCATCAAGTCATTTAAGGTCTTCACTACACTGTTTATTCTAGTTAGCCATTTGTCTAACCTTTTTTCAAGGTTTTTAGATTGCTCACGATGGGTTAGAACATGCTCCTTTAGCTCGGAGAAGTTTGTTATTACCGACCTTCTGAAGCCTACTTCTGTCAGCTCGTCAAAGTCATTCTCTGTTCAGTTTTGTTCTGTTCCTGGTGAGGAGTTGCGATCCTTTGGAGGAGAAGAGGCACTCTAGTTTTGGGAATTTTCAGCTTTTCTGCTCTGGTTTCTTCTCATCTTTGTGGTTTTATCTACCTTTGGTCTTTGATGTTGGTGACCTACAGATGGGGTTTTGGTGTGGATGTCCTTTTTGTTGATGTTGATGCTATTCTTTTCTGTTTGTTAGTTTTCCTTCTAACAGTCAGGCCCCTCAGCTGAAGGTCTGTTGGAGTTTGCTGGAGGTCCACTCCAGACACTGTTTGCCTGGGTATCACCAGCAGAGGCTGCAGAACAGCAAATATTGCTGCCTGATCCTTCCTCTGGAAGCCTCATCCCAGAGGGGCACCCACCTGTATGAGGTGTCTGTCGGCCCCTATTGGGAGGTGCCTCCCATTCAGGCTACATGGGGGTCAGGGACACACTTGAGGAGGCAGTCTATCCATTCTCGGAGCTTGAACGCTGTGCTGGAGAACCATTGCTCTCTTCAGGGCTGTCAGACAGGGATGTTTAAGTCTGCAGAAGTTGTCTGCTGCCTTTTGTTCAGCTATGCCCTGCCCACAGAGGTAGAGTCTATAGAGGCAGTAGGCCTTGCTGAGTTGCAGTGGGCTCCACCCATTTAGAGCTTCCCGGCCACTTTGTTTACCTACTCAAGCCTCAACAATGGCAGACATCCCTCCCCCTGCCAGGCTGCAGCCTCACAGGTGGATCTCAGACTGCTGCGCTCGTAGTGAGCAAGCCTCTGTGGGCATGGGACCTGCTGAGCCAGGCACAGGAGAGTATCTCTTGGTCTGCAGTTGCTAAGACCATCAAAAGGCACAGTATTTTGTCAGGAGTGTACTGTTTTTCCAGGTACAGTCAGTCACGGTTTCCCTTGGCTAGGAAAGGGAAATCCCCTGACGCCTTGCACTTCCCAGGTGAGGTGATGCCCTGCCCTGCTTTGGCTCGCCGTCCATGGGCTGCACCCACTGTCCAACCAGTCCCAGTGAGATGAACCAGGTACCTCTGTTGGAAATGCAGAAATCACCCGTCTTCTGTGTCCATCTCGCTGGGAGCTGCAGACTGGAGCTGTTCCGACTAGGCCATCTTGGAAGCACTCCCTTGCTTATATTTTCTTCCACTTTGTAATTTATCTTTTTCAAGTATGTGATAGTGACTAGTGTCTTTCAGAGACCAAAATATTTCAAGTTTGATGAAGCTTATGATTTTTTCCATGGTTTGTGCTTTTTGCATCCTAGGAAATCTTTTTCTATGCTTGAAAACAAAAGATTTTCTTCCATATTTTCTTGAATACATTTCTTATCTTCTGTTTTGCTCCATGATCCACTGTAAGTTAATTTCAACCCTTGATGTGAGGTAAGGATATATATTCATTTTTTTCCAAATGGATATTCATTTATTTTAGAGACATCTGTCAAAAGAATGTCTATTCTATATTCTACATTTTCACACCTTTATTGAAAATCAGTTGAGCATGTATGAGGTAGCATATTTCTTTGTTTCCTACTCTGTTCTAATCACATGCATGTCCATCCTACACAAATATCACACTTTCCTTATTACTGTTTTTTTCTTAAAATTGATCAGTATAAATACTACACTTTTATTTGCCTTTTTCAAAATTGTTTTGACTATTCTGAACTATTTGTATTTTAATATACACTAAGTTATTTCTGCTTTCAATGACTATTTTCTACTTTATGGATTTTGTTCATACATGGTGCAATGGAGAAATGTGTAGGAGAAGCAATAGGTGACAAATCTGGCTTTTTCTTGGCTAGATAAAATGTATCCAGTCATCATAACCAATACATGTTCTAAGTTTAGCTATGCTGTAATTAATATACATTCAAAACTTTCCAAGTAAATGCTTCAAATAATTCTACCAATTATTTGCCATTAGTTAATCTATCTAGCATACTGAATTATATTTTAAATATTCAGCTTGAAATACCTGAAACTATTAGATTGAAAATTAAATTTATTCAAAATGCTTATAAGCACAGGCTTTTAGCACTTAAAAAAAGTTAAGAAACCTATAAAATTCCCAAACTGAAAAATATAAATAATTTAAAAATCCATTTGTCCATTTAGACAGCTAAAACTCATGAAGCATACACAAGTAGCTCAGATTTTTACAAAAATCTAATTTTTTCAATTACATCTAATTTTGCTTATTAAAGTAATCTAGAAATCATTTTACTTGTTTACCTAAAGACCAAGGGGCATAATTATAAAAGTAACATTCATTTTATTTCCATTAGGAAAAGATTGTCTTAAGTAAAATGAAATAAGGATCTTTTTAAAGGAAAGTGTAATAGGAAAAACAGTATGTAATACATGACACAAAACCAAAAGCATTAAATTTTAAAGACTAAAATATTAACAAAACCGGATAATGAAATAAAAAATAAATAAAAAATATATATTAACTAGAGACCACTTCATGTTTGTCTCTCTAGTAGAAAATAAGTTTTCTAAAATATGATTAAGCATAATAATTTCTTGTCTGACTATTGGAAGTATTTCTTTCCAAAATGTTTTGTTTTATTTTATTTTTTGACTACACTCAGACACTTTTATTCATGTTTTAATGATACTTACCTCTCTTTTGCTCTTTCCTTTCTTCTTCCTTAATGAAATGCACTTTAGAGAATGCATGTCGTCACTGAAAAGTATTGATTTGATGAAACTGAACAAAAGATAGAGAAATAATTTGTATTAGGCAGTTTCTAAGATGGCTCTCAGTGACTATCTCCTCCAGATATTTATTCTCATTTGTAATGCCATTCCCTTGAGCATGGGCTTATCTAATGACTTGCTTTTGACAAATAGAATATAACAAAATTGGTGCGATTTCACCTTTGACATTAGGTTTCAAAAAGCATCCTGGTTGCAGGCAATTTTTTGTCGTGGGCACCTTCTCTTGTTCTCTTTCACTTGTTGTAGGAAGCCAGGTACCATGTGGAAAACTGCCTTTTGGAGATCCCCAGTGGCAAAGTGTGATGTCTTCAACCATCATCCAGTAGGGACCTAAATCTGTCAATAGTCATATGAAGAGATTGGAAATGTGTCCTCCCCAAAGAATCTTAGATGAAGGTAGTAGTCCTAGCCTACAAATGGATTGTAGTTTGTGAAATGCCCAGAGCCTGTGTACCTGGTTAAGCCATGCTTAGGTTCCTCAACTCATAGAAATTGTGATATAATAATGTTTGCCCTTTTAAACTGACAAATTCTGGAGTAATTTTTTACACAGTATAGTAGGGCAGAGAGTAGTCCCTTAAAGGATATGTCCACCAGGAATCTCATAATGTTACTTCATTTGGAATAAGATGTTTGCAGGTATAATTAAGGTAAGAATCTTAAAATGAGATTATCTTAGGTTATGTTGGGGCATAAATCCAATAACAGGGCTCTTTATAATAAGAAAGGAAGACACATAAACATACAAAGATGAAGAGGATGTAAAGATGGAGGCAGAGATTTGAGTGATGTGTCTACCAGCAAAGGAAACCCAAGAATTGCCTGCAACCAGAAACTAGGAGAGAGGCATGAAACAGATTTTCTTCAGAGCCTCCAGAAGGTGCAGATGCCTTGATTTTGCAGTTCTGAACTCCAGAACTAAGAGAGGATAAATTTCTGTTGTTTTAAGTCAAGTTTGTTGCAATTTGTTATAGCAGTCTTGGGAAACTAATGCAGCAGTAGATAAATGGCACATATGTTAGAAAAAGGAATGAGATATGGAGCATGTAATTGTCAAAATTTTACTGTAATATGTTACTTATAAATTATGAACATGAACAAGACACATAGAAGATAAAAATGATACAATAATTAAGTGAAAGTCACTAACTTGTGATAATGACAGGAAATTGCTACATGCTTTGTTTTAAACTTATTTAAAAGAATTTTTATCATGAATATAGTATCTTAGTATCTATGCAGAGCCCAACTGTAACTTAATAGTGTGCTAAACAAAGTACATTTCTGTCTTTGTGCATACACATACACACACACAGGCACACATGTATGTATATATATATATATACATACATATATATGTGTGTGTTTATGTATATGGAAATAGAGAAGATTTTAAATTTACTGAGTAAATGTGAAGTTCAAGTCCAATAAAATTCTGTGACTTATGTTAACATTCACTGTTCAGCAATATTTTGTTATTGCTTTTGTTGCTGTTCTATCATCATTTTTTTTCTTTCTACTGTTTGCACGCAATTTTAGGCATGAGAAGCCTGGGAATTGAATATATTAGACTCTTGTTTAAGGGTTCTGGATATGATTACCTTCTGTGAAATGCAGTTACTCAAAACTTGGAAGGTAGAAAATTAGTCAGAAGCCATGATCTTATGTGTCTAAGAACAGCAGCTAAAATATGACTTTGCTAAAAGGGGCTTTGCAGTGATCTTCATATTTCCCTGCCATCACATGAAGCAGGGACGTTGGTAGTGGTTTCGTACAGATTTCTGAGTTTGCATGTAAATAGCAACATTTAGACTATCAAGAATATGGCAGAGGTATCAATTCCAAACTACTTTCATTATCACCAATTTCTGCTCCTTTAGCCTGCCCCCAGTATTAAACCCTCTTCTATTTGAAATATCTTGGATGTTTGCATTATCTTTGACAATCTATGTTTGGTAAAACAGTTAAATAGAAGTTGAATTTAGAGCAAATCTTAAAAATAAAATAAGAATAAAATATTTGAAATAAAATATTATTAAAATAAAATAAAAATGAAATAAAACCATAACAAATATTACAATTTATTTTAATAGAGGTTTCATGTATAATGATGTAGCAAGATAAAAGTTTGGAGAAAATAACTATATGATTCTAGTTTTCTTTATTTTAAGAAAAAATAAAAGAAATAATGTAAAAGTGTAGACTTGGATTGTCTGCATTTTTTTCCCATATCTTAACAAATTCTGTGTGAAGTCAACCCGTAATTTAAAAAATAAAGTTATCTTATGTGTGGCTCCCCAGAAGCAGTAACTGACATAAAAACATGACTGCAAGTGTATTTGGAAGCTAAGGTCAGGAAGAAGTGTGAGATAATGACAATGTGAAATGAAGAAGGAATAAAAAACAAGAAAATGTGTATTAGTTACTGGGTTGCCACAGTGGAAAACTAGGACTTAATCCTTCTAGGGTCCCACTGAAAGAATATCTAGAACTAAAATAAATCTTAGAATTTAAAGTACTAACAGATCCTATGTGCCCTGCTATGATACTCCTAAAACAACAAACGAGTCAGATTTTAGATCTGGGTTTAATTAATCCTATCTTCTTGATAAAAATTTAATTTTTAATATGTAGACAATGGGAAGCCATAAGTGAGACTTCACTGAGTCAAGTAAAGATTGATAAAAGCTGTAACCTAATTTCCACACCAATGATAGTTGTTTTAGATATTTTTCTCAAAATGTAAAATTAATACTCATTGAGGTTCAATACTTAAAAACAAGTACCAATGAAAAGTTATCAATAATTAGATTTTGGAAAATATGAAAATTTTTATTATTAAAAGAAATTTACTAGCACATGATTCCCCTAGAGAACATATGGAGGTAATGGAACAAGGTGCAGTTTCAAAGCCACTGCTAAACTGAAAATGCCTTAAAAAGTACACATTTGATGCCATCAATATAAAGGTATTTATTTCTAAACTAATTGAAAACCCCTCATGTTTCTGACATTTAGTTTTTTTTTATTTGAAGAAACTTTAAAAGCAGGCATATGAAATATGCTTTCAGTTGGAAATGTGGGATCTAAAATGTTGAGGAGCATTAGTACAGACAGAATGATTTCATGGGGGAAAAAAATAAAAAAATAAAAAACAGGAAGAGCCTAGCATGGAAAGCAGGACAGCTCATCCGGATACCAGGTTTGGGGATGAATGTGAGTTTAAGGCTGTTTCTACTAATCACTTCCATCACACAATCATTCAAGCCAGACAACCAGTTTCACTGGCTTTTTGACCTTATTAACATGATGCTTGACAAAATTGATTCAACAATTCAGTTGAAATGGCAGGACCACAAACAGTCTTAGGCTCTGCAAATGCTACCTATAATTTCAAGTCAATCGACAGCATTCACTGTGTGCAGAGCATGTGTATAATGCAATAATTGTTTTAAACTTTTTCTCTTCTCCTAAACCTGCTAATCCTGCTCTCCCCACTTTACTCTCAAGAGATTGCTTTAATTCCTACTTCAGAGAGAAAATATACCAAAAAAAATTATATTATGACATGCCATTCACCCAAATCTTAACTGCCAGTTATGGTGTATTTTGATAAATATTCCTGACTTTCAGAGACCTCAATATGTTTATACCCTGATAACCATAGTTTTATTGTTATTGTTGTCATTGCTTTCATTTTAAATGTGGAATGTGAATTTCACTCAGCAGAGCATTCTTTTGAGGAAAAATACTATGACATCTCCAAGATCACTCCACTAGAATATATTTTTTTTTTTCAAATCCTATTCCCTTGTGGACAATATTTATTTTCTTCAATTAAACATTTCTCCAGTACTTTTTAAACCTCTGACATAGGAATTTTATGACTATGGAATGGCTTAACTGGTTTAACTAAAACCAGTTTTATTCTGATTTTTAACCAAAAAATAAGTAGAAAAGACATAACATAAAAAAGAAGAATCATTTTGTAATTTCCTTATGTTAGTTTTCTTAGCATATACCTTAGCATCTATGTAAGGAACAAGATTACAAATGTAACAAGAGCTCTCAAGTATAAAACTTCTAAAATGCTGACTAGTAGCCCAAAGATTCTTGTTTTAATACAGAGTTAAAATAGGCTACAACTCCTAGTTGCTTTATATTATACATTGTTAACTAATTCCACATTTGTGTGATTTCAGTATAATTTGGATTCATTCAGAGAAGTATTTTTTTCTTATTCTTGGTAGAAAAAATATGCAAGGAGGACTATTTGAATATAATATATTGGATAGTATAATAGGATGGTTACAATCTGTAAACTTAAAAAAAATATAGCTGCACACATAGCTTCTTTGTACTGGGGAATGCCAGCCAATTCTTGGATAAAAGGAACAATGGAGTTCATCAGATCTTCCTAACAACACAAAATGACATGGCCTGTTCTACCAAATACTTTCTATAAAATTCACTTGGCCAATCAAAGATACTTGTTTTGCAATTGAAACCCTCATACCTTAATAAGAATAGCTCATGACTAGCATGAAAAGTAAATACTCATAAAAATGTCCATTGCCTATATATTTGAATAAACCATGCTATTCAATTAATGGAGGGAAAATACTTCTGTCAGTTGTGATTCCATCTCTTCTTTGTGTGTATTTCAGAAAGTGAAAAAAAGTGATAACAGTGGAATTATTCACTAAATACCAAATTGAAAAAAAGCACTTCAACAATAAAACAAAACATAAAAACATAAACAAGATAGTAAATTTGTCTTAAATAATGTTGAGTTGTACCCCACTCCTCTCATCTTAAAGGACATTAATGAAGTTTATCTATTAATATGGACAAGGAAACTAATTCCTGTTGCCTCGTTTTCCCTCAAGCACAAGCAGTTATCTTTTTTTCCTGACTACTTAAGGGAGAGGTGGCAGTGATACTAGTAGCCTCCTGTCAGTGACATAGTAACAAGCCTAGAAATAGTACTTGAGCAAATATTTGGCCCTACCTCTGCCCATTAATCTTTGGAAATTAATAAACTTTTCTCTCTCATTTTCTTATTTGTAAATAAAGAATAAAAATGTCCAACTCTCTGATTCAAAACTACAACAAAATATATATGAAAATCTTTATCAAAAAATAAAAAACATCGAAGTCATATAAGATAATCTTAATTTGCTTTTTAATGAAGGTACAAAGAGGTTGATCTCGAAAAATACTTTGATACTGGGTTTAACATGCCTATTTCCAGCTGCTTTATCTGTTCCTGTTCAGTGCTCTTTCAGGGTTATTAACCCAACAATTATACCAATAATGCCACTGCATGTAGAGTTGAGACATTTTCCTCTCATGCATTAATAAATTGTTTTCTTCAGTATGAAGGGAAACAAATATTAGGAAAAACTAGTCAGTATTTCCTAATATTTGTCATTTGTGGGCCATATTAATTTCACTTACACAATATGTATTTTCTTATAACTTTGGTAAAGGAGAATAAAGACTTTTGCTTAAGGAAGAAAGGCATTCATTTATAATTAAATATAAAATTCTAGCAGTCAGAGACACCCAAGTTAGAATTATGTCTCTGACTCTTATAGACTTTTAGCAATGAGGCAATTACTTAACTCAGTTAATTAAGCTGTAAAATAATAATAATAATAATATCTGTCATGCAAATTTGTGAAGATAATTATAAAATGTATATAAAAGTTTGGGATAAGGACGAACAGGCAGAAAGCATATGAAACTGACAACTATTAGTATTATAATATGGTTTCCAATATTTCACAACTACTATCAACCTTAGTAAATTTAGGTAATCATTATAAACTTCAATTCTCTAGTATAAAATGAGATATTAAGGTAAATGTTGGATGGCCACTTCTAGTTTCACGAATACTACAACCCACATCAAACCACAAGAAAACATTTTACAATGACCACCTACTTCAATTAAATAAGGGGATTTGTTTCCATTTAATGTATGAAGCAGACTCCCTAGAAAAGTTCATCACTTACCTCCATTCATATAGAGCAGAGGTAGGCAAACATTTTCTATAAAGGGTAAGACAGCGAACATTTTAGCCTTTGTAGGTCATACAGATTCTGTAGCAATTCTCAATTGTGTTGTAGCACAAAAGCAGCAATAGACAGCATGTAAACAAGTGAGCATAGCTGTGTTCTAATAAAATTTTATTTATGGACACTAAATTGAATGTTGCATAACTTTAATATGTCATGAAATATTCTTATGCTTTTTTTTCAAGGCCTTAAAAATGCAAAATACCTTCTTAGATCATTGGCCATATAAAACAGCTGATGGGCTGGTTTTTGCCTGTAGACTTCAGTTTACTGACCCTGCATAGGTCATTTTTGGTTAGTTGGAACTAAGCCCTAAGTTTTAAAAAGAGTGGCTCTTTGTCTATTAAAAAACATCAAATTTCATTGAATGCATTTTTTAATTATTTTTTTTTTCCAAATTAATTTACTTTTTAAAAAAAATGTTTGAGTCAGAACCTCACTGTGTCACCCAGGCTGGAGTGCAGTGGTGCGATCTCTGCTCACTGCAACCTTCGCCTCCCAGGTTCAAGCAATTCTTGTGCCTCAGCCTCCCTAGTAGCTGGGATTACAGGCGTGTGCCACCATGCTCAGGTAATTTTTTTGTATATTTAATAGAGATGAGGTTTTGCTATGTTGCCTAGGCTGGTCATGAACTCCTGGCCTCAAGTGATCCACCTGCCTGGGCCTCCCAAAGTGCTAGGATTACAGGCGTGAGACACCATGCCCAGCCTGTATTTTAAAAAATATATGCATATCTCAGGTATATATATTTTTGAGTTATATTATCATTGCTTACTTGGTAGATAAAAGACTAAAAGTCTTTTGCAAAATTTGTATTTTTGATAAAATTTTAAAACATCAATGATTCTTTTTCATAAGGGTTAGAGCTCTTTTCAGAATGACGAAGTCAAAAAAATGTGGAAACAATATTTTATTGCCCCCCCCAGGTACATATATTTGGCTTTATTCTGATGATAATAGTGGTGTCTGTCTCAGTATGCAGTCATACATCATTACACATTGAAACAGTGTTAATATATGCCAGAACTGCAGCAGTACCAAAATATTTGTAGACCTTGGGAAACCAGCACAAACTACTGATTTTGCAAGATGCATGAAGAGAAAAACAAACTTCTTGATGACAGTGGTTAGCAAATTGTTTTCAGAAACAAAGAGAAACAGAGTAATGTAATTTTTCAAATACAGAAGTAGAATTCAGTACAAATTAATGACTAGGGGTATGAAGATGCACGGCAGTATTTTTTTGCCAGTGGCGTACTTACCTTGACATGCTTAATTTGTTAAGAAGGAAAACCTTCAGAAGGTATTTATAAATTAATGGATCACATCCTTTACTTTCCAACATGGTTTTATGGTTGTTGCCTTTTTAAAAACTTTTATTTGTAGGAGAGGTAAAAAGAAAAACCCAAACTGGAAGAATGTTCTTTGTTCTACTGGGAAACAGGGTTAATATCATCTGCAAAGCAAGATAGTGACCACAGTCAGAATTTAGCCCTTTTAGTTGCATCTTTGTTGTTGTTGTTGTTGTTGTTTGTTTAGACCAATTATATGTTCTCACATCTTTGATTGGAAATCAAATTAAATTCATGACTTTTTGAAGCAATTTTCAAGTATTGTCACCCAGATATTGTCATACTGAAACCTATAGATTGTGGCACAGACTGGCTAAATTCCATCTTGATTGTGCCAGAGAATGTGCTATTTTTAATTATTCCTTAGGAAAAGATTATGTCTTTGACAGCTATTGTAACAGAGTACTGGCATAGCTTTTCAACAAGTGAGTATTATTTTTGGCTGCTTCTACCTGACCTAAGAATTTTACACACAAAATAATTAAATAAAGTTTAAACAAATTTATTGCTTAAAGGAGCTCTTTTTCCTAAATGTGAATGACTATCTCCTGATTCTTTTGGAGTATTCTGTTTCTTCCTTTGTATTGGGTAAAAATGGTATATTTTTACACAATTCTTAAATCAACTGTTGTAAAAAATTGATCACTTTCTCATTGGATTTGTAAAATATTACCACCATATGGGAGAAATATATAACTGTATATGATCTTTTTAACATATACCATTCTATTCATTTGACTTTTTTTGGTATATGAGATGAGAAGAAAAGAAAAGGAAAAGATCTTCAGTCCTCAATTCTAAAACATAGGTATACACGTATCCACTTTTGATGTGACCAAACTTAGATCTTATGTTGGGGGTAAAATGCTATGTAAAGTAATGTAACAGGATACAAAAGTGTCAGAGAACCTGCAGAACCTCTGAGAAGATGATGTACACCATTGCTACATGGAGATTAAGAGATCTGTAGCTGGACCCAAGATATTATACCTGTACGCACATCCTGGAACTATCGATTTATGTAATTTTGACTTTGTGGATGCAGGACTGAAGGTCTTCTACAATCTAGGAAGAAAAAGAGAGATTAGTATGAGGTGAAAGGGTAGAGACTGGGAGAAAATGCCAAACACATTAAGAATCTGCACAGCAAAAGAAACTATCATTAGAGTGAACAGGCAACCTACAGAATGGGAGAAAAATTTTTCAGTCTATCCATCTGACAAAGGGCTAATATCAGTCATCTACAAAGAACTTAAACAAATTTACAAGAAAAAAAACAACCCCATCAAAAAGTGGGCCAAGGATATGAACAGACACTTCTCAAAAGAAGACATTTATGCAACCAACAAACATATTTAAAAAAGCTCATCATCACTGGTCATTAGAGAAATGCAAATCAAAACCACAATGAGATACCATTTTATGCCAGTTAGAATGGTGATCATTTAAAAGTCAGGAAACAACAGATGCAGGACAGGATGTAGGGAAATGTACCCTGTTGGTGGGACTGTAAGTTAGTCCAACCATTGTGGAAAACAGTGTGGTGATTCCTCAAGGATCTAGAACTAGAAATACCATTTGACCCAGCAATCCCATTACTGGGTATATACCCAAAGGATTATAAATCATTCTACTATAAAGACACATGCACACGTATGTTTATTGCAGCACTGTTCACAATAGCAAAGATTTGAAACCAACCCAAGTGCCCATCAATGATAGACTGGATAAAGAAAATGTGGCAAATGTACACCATGGAATACTATACAGTTGTAAAAAAGGATGAGTTCATGTCCTTTGCAGGGACATGGATGAAGCTGGAAACCATCATTCTCAGCAAACTAACACAAGAACAGAAAAGCAAACACCGCACGTTCTCAATTATAAGTGGGAGTTGAACAATGAGAACACATGGACACAGGGAGGGGAACATCACACACTGTGGCCTGTCATGGGGTGGGGGGATGGGGGGATAGCATTAGGAGAAATACCTAATGTAGAAGACAAGTTGATGGGTGCAGCAAACCACCATGGCACGTGTATGCTTACATAACAAACCTGCACATTCTGCACATGTAGCCCTGAACTTAAAGTATATATATAAAAAAAGAATGATAAAAAGAAAGAGCCATTAGTGGGAGTCTACTGTTTCTCAAGGAAAGGACAGCAGTAGAAGTCAAGGTATGTAGTAGAAGAAATTTTTACATTGTGACTGCCTTCCTCTGGAAAATATGGCTCAATGTCAGGCCCTTTGTCAACTTGAATGCTCTGACTACCTCAGGAAAAATAATATCTTCAAGAAGACAGAATGTAGGAAGTTTTCTTCTCTATGGATTAAGGTAAGTAAACAATAGAAGGAAGAAAAAAATAGTATTGCCCCACCACAGGGAAAAACCATTTTTCATTCATTTATTTATTCATTCACTTATTCTTTTTGAAAAAATTTGCCTTCTTGGCCCTGTAAATCTTTACTGAAAACTACTATTTTAGAATAAATGTGGCATTATGACTATAAAAGTACCCATCACTTGGCTTTGCTGAAATATAAAACAAATCATAAGAGAGGAAGGGGATCTAATATACATAAGAATCTGAGTACCTTCAGGAAGGACAGAAACAAGTCTATACCTGATCATTGGTAGTTAAAGTTAGGAGAAATGTATGAATGGGCAAATTGGCTCAGAGCATAATAGTGCAAGAGCAAAAGTACTGATGCTATGTTACCTGAAGGCAGTGGCATCTAGGCTACTGAACTAATATCAAGGAGAGGAGTACCGGTTCTGTGGAAGACAACTATTACCTGCCTTGCAAGAGGCTGATATCAGAAGCTTTTTCAGAAGACTTAGTGGATTGCTAGAGTTCTCAAAATAAAGTCTGAGCATAAGTATATGTCTTTGTCAGTTAATGGTGCTATAAAAAATTACCATAGACTAGGTGGCTTAAACAATAAACATTTATTTCTCACAGTTCTGGAAACTAAAAGTCCATGATCAAGGCATCAGCAGATCAACGTCTGGTAAGAGTCAGCTTCCTGATGAGCAGATGCCTCCCTGACTTAATCTCACTTGTTGGAGAGCAAGAAAAGAGGATGTTTTCCTGTCACTTCCTATAAGGGTGCTAATCACAGTCATGTGAGCTCCACTCTTATGACCTAATTATCTCCCAAAGGCTCCATCTCCTAATATCATCATATTGAAGGTTAGAATTTATTTCAATATATGAATTTGGGATGATATAAACATTCACTTCATAATAGATATAGACTGACAACTGAGGCCAGCTTGAGGAAAGTTAATTGTGCTTGACCTAAGAGGGACTAAGATCCCTTTCCTTTGTAGGATTATGGCAGTTTGTACTAGGTCCTACTCCAAGAAAATATTATGAAGTTGACCATCAGTGTTTGTTCTGTGGAGGACTGGAGTTCAACAAAGCCACTGTGTAACACCAAAGAGTAAAGGCAAAAAAGAGAAGTTTAGTGGTATTTATTCTTAGATGAACTCTTAATAGTTTAAGTGTGAAAGTCATTCAGACCACCATTATGGATTGCATAAGCTTCTATAGTTTTAGGAAATCTGAAGAGCATACCAAGAGTTAGATACTGGGATACATCCCAGTTTGAAATGTCAAACATTTATTTTATTTTACTTGAAAACTAAAATAGATATGTGGAACTTGTGCTCAAAATTTTAGTATCCAGTCATATTTTATGTAGTATGGTATATATTGAATACTTACTAAAGTCCATTAATCCTTATGTGTGATCTATAAGAAGAGAAGCATTTCCTTTTTGGAAAATTTTTAGTTGTGGATCTCATGAGATAAACAATAATTGTAGTATGGGAGTGGATTCTAGGATTTTTTTTAATCTTATGAATTCCAAGTTTGGAACTAGAGTAAGGTGAGTGAGATAGCTGCATCAGGTTGGAAAAATCAACGAGGTACAAAACAACTACATAATCAATATAAACATATTTACTGCAATGTTTTAATGTCAAATGTAAAATACAAAATAGAACATCTTAAAATAAAGACAGGATTTGATCCTATAATTGTACAAATCTTCCTCACTTACCTCACTCTAATCCTGGTGTTTGTTCCAATAAAAATTTATTTACAACAAGTTAATCCATGTGCCGTGATTTGCCGAGGATTTTTTTAAAATAGTGCATGAAAATATTATATCGATAGATAGATAGATAGATAGATAGATAGATAGATAGATAGATAAACTGTGTTTCAGTGCCCTGTTAAATGTTGCCTCAAAAGAAAATGCCTTACTGGCCTCAGCCTATTCCCTACCTACTCTGGAAAACATCAGATTTGGAAAAGAAAAGAAAACAAAAAGAAATAGGGAAACAAGAGAAAGCCAAATAAGTAAAATCAAAAAGCAGGGAAAAAAGAGAAAGAAGATAAAATGTGGTAAGAATTTAAACATGAACTATTTTTTAATCTAGTAAAATAATGTAAAATAAAATTCTCCAAGGATATGAATGTTTTAAAAGGTAAGAGTAAGTCAAATATATCCTCAACTGAAACTAATGTAATAGGGCATTCTCTTGCATTCCTAGCAGATACCTCTGAGTTCAGGTACTTTTCCGTTGTGAATTCTGAGCACTGAAGATTCTTGAATGCCTGGAAGTTGGGGTTGGGGAGTAAAAGAGAAGTAAACCAACTCCTGCTTTATTTTTTCCTAAAGCGCTTCATGAAAAGTAGCTTTTTCTTCTTCAGAAATAGTAATAACTTGACAATTCAGAGTCTCGTGTATCCATCTCCCTCAAACATTCAAAATTTAAAATTCCAAACTGGGTAAAATCCTAGAGAAGGATAATATCTGCACTTTCTCTTAGCACTGCTAAATAGAAAAAACAGGTTGAGATTTTTGAAGTGGAATTGAGGATAACCGCTACTCTTAAGTCATGTGTTCAGTGTTATCTTGTAGCAGGTCAAGACAAAGGGTTCTGTAACAAGACTACCATCACTTAAATCTCTGCTTTTCCACTTATTAATCTGTGATCCTGAACATGTCACTTAAACTCTCTTTTCTTCAGTTTACTCTTCTATAAAGTGGGGATAATGATAGTTCTTACTTTATAAAGTTATAATTAATGTTAAATGAATTAAAGCACGTGGAGCTTTTGCCTGGTGCATAATTTTATAAATAACATACTTACAATAAGTTATTATATTCCTATCAAAAGTACCATTAAAATAGGAGATTAAGAAATCAGAATTGCAAAAAAATACATACCATTTTATACAGTGAGAATATTTTTGCAAACCACCAGTGAAATAGGAATAGTTGATAGGAAAGCCCTGAACAACTTCAGCTAGAGATCTTTAATAAAGATTATTTCTTTGTAACAAGGATTCCATTTTTTAGCTTGTAAACAATTTGGGTTTACTCTTTTTGTCCAAAGAAATGAAGCATAAAACATGAAACCATTAACATGAAAGCAGTGTTGGAAGAAGACAGGAACGTGGAAGAATAAGACATAAAGAGAGAGAGAGAGAATGAGGGAACTAAAGGTAAGCATTATGCAAAGCATTTTTTTCCATTCAACTGACAGTAAGAAAATATTCCACATTGCAACTAAAAATATGAATGCACAAAAATCAACAAAAACTTTATGAAACAATACCTTTATGAGATGGTCTCCTCTCCTCTCCTCCTCTTCCCTTCCATTGTCTTCTATGTTATTCTAACAGATTTTTTATCTAAAGTGAATAAAAAAATGCATGAATAAATTTTGAGCAGTACTAATAGTACCAATGACATTATTTAAAGTGAGCAAACATGACATGATAGATAACAAACATGATGATATAAGACATTGAAGGAAGAAAAGAAGAAAAATAGGAAGAAAGGAAGAAGGGAGAAAGGGGTGGGAAGAGAGGGTAAGAAGGAAGGAAGGAAGGAAGAAAGGAAGGAAGGAAGGAAAAAAGTAACTAGAATTTGAGCAATATAAGAAGAGAATTCTGAATTAGACCAAAGCAGCAGTATTTCCTAGATCCAAACACAATATAATGTCTTCAATTCCATAGATAGATGAAATTTAAAACTAGTAACAAATTTGACCTTTACCTAAGTTATAGTGTTATTTGTAATTATTTTTAAAATTATGTGTAGAGATGATTTCATTACTTATCAAATAGTTAATTCATGTCATAAAACCATGTGTGAAAAATTAGTATCTTTACCCATGACCCCTTGAAAAATCCTTGAATATAAAGGACAAGGAATTGTCAAAGAACTATAGCAGAGAAGATTCTAGTGCCTTGTGTTGAAACACAAAGAGGTGACATTCCTTACACCAGTAGTTCTCAGACTTTACTAAGCACACAAATCATCTGCAGGGCTTGTTCAAACACAGATTACAAGGCCCCATACCTAGAAATTCTGATTTAGTAGGTTTGGGATGGCGTTTGACTGCTTCACGTTTCTAACAAGTTTCCAGTGAATCTAATGAGAACCACTGTTTCACACAATGATTTATTCACCCCAGGCTTCAACATAAATGCTCACATTTTCTTTTCACATTATTCCTGAGAGATAGTGATACAGTTTGGTTATTGTCCACACCCAAATCTCACCTTGAATTGTAGTTCCCATAACCACCACTTGTGGTGGGAGGGACCAAGAGGAACACAATTGAATAATGGGGGCAGTTTCCCCCAAGCTATTGTCATGAGAGTAAGTTCTTATGAGATCTGATGGTTATATAAGGGGCTTCCCCCTTTGCTCAGCCTTCATTCTTCTCCTTTCTGTGGCCAAGTGAAGAAGGACATGTTTGCTTCCTCTTCCACCATGATTGTAAGTTTACTGAGGCCTCCCCATCCCTGTGAACTGTGAGTCAATTAATCCTCTTTTCTTTACAAATTATCCAGTTTGGGGTACTTCTTCATAGCAGTATGAGAATGACCTAATACAATCAATTGGTACTGAGGTAGTGGAGCACTGCTGTGAAGATACCCAAAAATGGGCCAGGCATGGTGGCTCATGCCTGTAAATCCAGCACTTTGTGAGGCTGAGGTAGGTGGATAACCCAAGGTCAGAAGTTCTAGACCAGCCTGACCAATATGGTGAAATCCCGTCTCTACTAAAAATGCAAAAATTAGGCACATGTGGTGGCGTGTGCCTGTAGTCCCAGATACTCAGGAGGCTGAGGCAGAAGAATCGCTTGAACCAAGGAGGTGGAGGTTGCATTGAGCCAAGATCGTGCCAATACACTCCAGCCTGGGTGACAGAGCAAGACTTCATCTCAAAAATAATAATAATATTTTTTTAAAAAAACAAAATATAAAAGTGACTTTGGAACGGGTAACAGGCAAAGGTTAAAACAGTTTGGCGGGCTCAGAAAAAGATTGGAAAGTGTGGGAAAGTTTGGAGCTTTCTGGAGCTTCTTGAATGACTTTGACCAAAATGTTGATAGTGATGTGGACAATGAAGTCCAGGCTGAGGTGGTCTCAGATGGAGATGAGGAACTTTTGGGAAACAGAATAAAGGTCATTCTTGCTATACAAAGAGACTGGCAGCATTTTGCCCTTACCCAAGAGATGTGTACAACATTGATCTTGAGAGAGATAATTTAGGGTATCTGGCAGAAGAAACTCCTAAGTGGCAAAGATTTCGAGAGGAAGCAGAGCATGAAAGTTTGGAAAATTGGCAGGCTGATGATACAATAGAAAAGAAAAACCATTTTCTAGGGAGAAATGCAAGCCCACTGTAGAAATTCGCGTAAGTAATAAGGAACTGAATATTAATCACCAAAAGAATGGGGAAAATGTCTCCAGGGCATGTCCCTTCAGAGTAGCACCTCCCTTGATAAGTCAGGAGGCCTAGAAGGGAAAAATGGTTTTGTGAGCCAGGCCTAAGGCCCCCCCTGCTCTATGAAGCATCAAGATATGGTGCCTTGCATCCTAGCTGCTTCAGCTCCAGCTGTGGCTAAAAGGGGCCAACATACAGCTTAGGCTGTTGCTTTAAAGGATGCAATCCCTAAGCCTTGGTGGCTTACATGTGGTATTGGGTCTGTGGGTGCACTGAAGTTAATAATTGAGGTTTGGGAATCTCCACCTAGCTTTCAGATGATGTATGGAAATGCCTGGAGGTCCAGGCAGAAGTTTGCTGCAGGGGCAGAGCCCTCATGGAAAATGTCTGCTAGGGCAGTGTGGTAGGGAATTACGGGGTTGAAGCCCCAGTACAGAGTTCCCACTGGGGAACTGCTTAGTGGAGCTGTGAAAAGAAGGCCACCATACTCCAGACCCCAAAATGGTAAATCCACCCACAGCTTGCACTGTGCACCTGGAAAAGCCACAGACACTCACCACTACCCCATGAAAGCAGCCAGGAGTGGAGCTGTACCCTGCAAAGCCACAGGGACGGAGCTGCCCAAGGCTGTGGGAGCCCACCTCTTGCATCAGCATAACTTGGATGTGTCACATGGAGACAAAGAAGATTATTTTGGAGCTTTAAGATGTAATTACCTCATGTTGGGTTTTGGACTTGGGTTGGGCCTGTAGCCCCTTCATTTTGGCCAATTTTTCCCATTTGGAATGGGTGTATTTACCCAATGCCTGTACTTCCATTGTATCTAGGAAGTAACTAACTTGCTTTTGATTTTAGAGGCTCATAGGTGGAAGGGATTGCCTTGCCTCAGATGAGACTTTGGACTTAGACTTTGGGTTAATGCTGGAATGGGCTTCGACTTTGGGGGAATGTTGGAAAGACATGATTGTGTTTTGCAATGTGAGGACATAAGACCTTGGAAGGGTTAGGGGCAGAATGATATGGTTTGGCAGTGTCCCCACACAATTCTCATCTTGAGTTGTATTTCCCATAATCCCCATGTGTAGTGGGAGGAACCCAGGGGGAGTTAATTGAATCATGTGGGCTGTTTCCCCCATGCTACTTTTGATATATTGAGTGTGTTCTCAAGAGATCTGATGGTTGTATAAGGAGCTTCCCCCTTCACTCGGCTTTCATTCTTCACCTTCCTGCCACCATGTGAAGAAAGAGGTGTTTGCTTCTCCTCCTGCCATGATGGTAAGTTTCCAGAGGCCTCCCTAGTTCTGCAGAACTGTGAGCCAATTAAATATCTTTCCTTTACAAATTACCCAATCTTGGGTATTTCTTCACAGCAGTGTGAAAACAGACTAATACTGTTAGCACTATTATTATTTACAGATTAAACCAGAGAGACATAGGGCTGTGACTTAAACAAACAACACAGCTAATGAATGAAAAAATCTTAATTAAAATCCTGATTTTCTGAAACCAAACTTTATGGTCTTTCTACTAGTTTAAACTGCATAAAAGGCAAAGTGATTATCAGTTTAGGACATTGAAAAGGATACAAAGAAAATCCCATGTGGTGAATTAGCTAAGGAATCAAAAGCAAATTAATTATCGCCTGATAAACATCAGCAAGAGAACAATTGAACAGAATTGAATATGTAATGATCACTTTTGCACTGTTTTTCAACTTCTTTCAGCAAAAATGTAGTATCAACATGGGCTATTGTTGTTTCCAAAAGATCCATGCCTTTCTTTTTGATCAGAAAGAAAATCTCAAGTTACTAGCAGAAATTTTCTATCTACCTATCATACTTATCTATCAATCTATCACTAATCACTAAATAAAAATGAACTATCTTTTTTTGGTATTTGAATCAGAAATTATTACTATCATAGTTATACAAAAATATTATTTTAATATTGATATATTGAAACACAGTCATAATATAGATTTAAATATAAAGGTGGCATTCTAGATGGCAAATTTTAATATCTATTTCTCAATATAATTGAAAAATAATGAATTCATTTGTGTTGGCATGCATGGTTTCATAAAATACTATAAAATTTGTTCTGGTTTTGACTTACAGTCAAATTCAGATTCAGAGTCTTCATCAATCTGCCAAAACAATTTGTAAAGACTGGAATTATACATATTTCTGATTATGTTACTATATTGAGTTTGCTTTTAATCAATTTAAATGAAGAATTTATGGCCTATGGTATTTTCTGACTTGTCCTGCCATTTAATGAGTAGATATAGCCAATCTCCTATGAAAACCTGAAAAATCAAAACAGCAGGCATCTGTTCTTGTGGAATAGACTAAAATTTCAGTATAACAGCATTTTGAACACAATTCAGCATTAGGCAAATGGACTTTGGACCCTCTCCAAGGGATTTGATTACCACAAACACCAGAAGTTCCCTTCATTGCACTGTACTGCCCATCAGGATTCTGAGAACAGCATTATATTAAAGCTCTCTTGTTCTTATAAGTGAATAATTTTATAGCAGCTACAGAAATATATTTTGCAGTTCCATTCCAGTGGGGAAGGAGGGAGAGTTGACTCTGGTAGTTATAGCTATAAACTGAAAGATGTAAGAATATATTTTCTCAAACTATGGGATAGTTCCTCAGATCAATGTTCTTAACTATATCCGAAAAGAAAATTGAGACCTAGGTTTTCAAGTTAACAACCATTGCTTTATATTTCCTTTTTGGTGGCTCAACTTGGAAGCCAAATAGTTTTAAAAACCTATAGTCAGGCTATTACAAAGTCTGAATCAGTCTAAAGTAATTAATTCATAAAATCTTGCTATTGCTTATAAATACTGCTTATTGAAAGAAATTGTGCATGCTATAAAAAGAGAACAAGTAAATATTAATTTGGAAATGTTAAAGAAAGTAGTCAGAAGACATTTTGGTACTCACCCACACATCTTTAAACATAGCTATAGTTATATGAATTATCTCTTAGTTTGTATATACAGGCTCAGTTTGAGGAAAAATGAAAATATGTGGACCAGTTCTAGCAATGTTGAGTGTCAAATTTTTTTGTACAAATGACAATTTTTCACGTAGATTCAGAAACAAAATATTCTGTTTATATTTAAAGAATTTGCCCAAATGCATTTAAATGTCTTTCTTATAGCAAAAGCTAATAAACCAACAAAAAATTGACCTCATTGTCCCCAAACTATCACCACTGAAATGCTTCTTAAAGCGCTAAGGTTTTCAGAAGTACAATAGGACAAATAAGCTTGGTTGTTTATCTCTCTCAAAATACATTTACAGTAAAAAAATTATTAGTTAAATTAGTTTATGATTCTACTGCACTGTATAATTCAAAAAAAATCGCCAAATTTTTCATCTGCTTTCATGTCCTTTCCTATAAACTCTTGTATTTTCTATATTTCTGTACCATAATTTTTGTGGGATGTTGAGAGAAAAAGTGGTTAATGTCTGTGCATAAGCCACCTGTTTTTTAATCCCTATTTTGTTATTTTAAAATATTTAACTGACCACCTCTTAGATGGGCAAAACTCCTTTGCTTCTTAGAAAATTTTTTCTTTCATGTTCATGCCTGTTTTCTCAATTTCATCCCGCATTAATACTATTTCTGAATCAGAGCAAAAAAAAAATACAGAAATAAATGTTCTTTGCGTTTTTATTTTTCCCTAATCAACGCTTATTACAAATTTTATAAAGGAGTAACTGGTATACAGATTTTCTCCCAATGTAAACAACTAGAAATCTGGACTAAAGGTCTGAAACAATGTTTTCACTCATTGGAATGATATGAATTACAGCATTATGCTTCCTGAGAGACAGATCCACACTGAATTGCTCTGTCTTTTTGTCTGAAGGTAAGTTCTGGATTACAGAGCGAGAAGAGAAGCAAAGCAAGCAATACAGTCTTGTCTTGAAGAGACAGACTGTAGTTTGGGAAGACTGGGAATGCTGCAATTTGCGGGGTAAAGCAACAGTAAGGAGGGAACTCAAAAATACATATAGTGGTTCCCGTTTTTCTTGACTGAATATTAATCTGCATGTGCACAGGGTGAAACTCCACAAAGTCAAGCAATATCGACTGCAAACAAATTGTAAGAATATTAATTCCCAGGCCACACACAAGGATGGAAGACAGTCAGTGTCCAGAGAGAGTAAAAAAATCTTGTTGAATACTTGAGATAATTAATAGAAGCCTCAGACGTTTCACAACTGGCTAACAGAGCTATATTGGCCCTTGAGTAAATTCCACTTCAGATCCAAAAAATAAAAATAAACAATAAAAAAACCACAAAAGCCTCCTTTTAAAACTTATCTACCTCCCAAAGCAAACTTCAATAGTCTTTAAAAGAAGTCAACAAAATCTAAACACTTGACAAAAAATAATGTACAATATCTGGGATCTAGTAAAATAATCACTAGCTAGGTAAAAAAACAGACCTGTGAGCCACATGAGAAAAATCATTAAAAATAAAGTAAAATAAGGAAATTAAAAAAAGGATAGATTTACCATACAAGAACTTAAATAGAACTATTAGAAATGTTTAAATATTTGTTTCATATAACAAGTGTACACACACATAAGTATATATAAGTTTACTTATATACTTATTTATTTTAGGGATTGACGTATGCAATAGTGGGAGCTGTCTAAGCAGTCTCTGTCTGACTGTTGTCTTCAGGTCTGATGCTGTATGTAGTCCACAGAGCAGGAAGTCAAGAAATGAATGAGATGGACTAAAACTGTCATCAATTCTTAGTGACTCTGACCTTAAGTGGTAAATGTCCTGAAAAAGCTGGGACCCTTTACCACAGATCTAACCATACACAATTCTGGCCCAGGAGTCAAAGAAGCTTTAGGAGAATGACAGAGAAGTTGGGGCAGTTGCAAACCTGACCACTTCTCTCCACAAAGGAGGTGAGGCAGTGGATAAGCAATGATGCGTACGAGCTGCAAAAAGACTGCCACTTCACTTCTACCTTTCAATTCCCCACAGGAAACTTTCTTGTTGCCTATTCTAACTGGAAAATGCAGGAAAGGAATTCTGAGAAATGTAGTTTAGCTCAGCGGCACAGGCACATCACTAAGCCACTGCAATATTCGAACTATTATAGAAGAACATAATGCAAAAGATACATAAAAATATTTAAATAAGAACCAAATGGAACTTCTAGAGATAAAATTTATAATATCAAAATTAAAATATCCACTGGGTAACTTTAGCAGCTATATCACAGTAGGTCAAATCACCAATAAATTCAAATAAAAAGCAATAGAGAATACCTATATTAGCCAGCTCAGGCTGCCATAACAAAACAGCACAGGCTGGGTGGCTTGAATAAGAGAAATGTATTTCCCCACAGTTTTAGAGGTTGGAAGTTCAAGATTAGAGAGCCAGCCTGGCCAGTTTCTGGTGAGGACCCTCTCCCTGGCTTGCAGCAGCTGTCTGCTCATTGTGTCCTCCTATGGCCTTTCTTTTCTGCATGCATGTGTGGAGAGATGGAGCTCTCTGGTGTCTTTTCCCAGAAAGACACTGACATTATTGTATCCAGCCCCCACCCTCATGACCTCCTTTTCAACCCTATCTCCAAATACAGTCACATTGGAAGTTAGGGCTTGAACAAGTGAATTTTGAGGAGATAAAATTCAGTCCCTAGCAATATCTAAACTGAAGCACAAAGATATATTTTTTTAAATAGACAAATAAATTAATCCAAGCCTCAGTGGCCTGTAGCAAGTATTCTAATTTATATGTAATTTGTATTCCAGAAGAAGAGGAGAGCAAAGTAGAAAGTCAAAAAAGTATTTGAAAAACGGTGCCCAAACTATACCAAATTTAGTGAACGCTATATCCCCTGTGTTGAGAATCTCAGAAAGTCTCTAGCAGAATAAACATAGAGTTACACTAAGAAAAATCTAAATCAAACTGTTGATATACAATGCTAAAAAAGAAAAATGTTAAAGCAGCCACACTAAACATTTGAGAACAAAAATAAGAATGGTTATAGACATTTCATTAGAAATGAAGAAAACAAGGAGTGAAACAAACTAATTAAGTTGCTGACAAAAATTACCAAACCTTAATTTATATATAGGAAAATATCTTTCCAAACTAAAAGTGAAATATTTCTCAAGCGAACAAGACCTAAGGGAATTCAGAGCCAGCAGACATACACTAGAAGGAATATTAAGGAAAGTTCTTCCCTGGCTGAAGAAAACATACCAGGTGGAAACACAGAACTACAGTAGACCATGAAGAATGCTATTTCTGAGTGTGCGGTAAATAAATATTAAAGACTTTTTCCCCATCTTTTAGTTCATTAAAAGATGACTATTAAAACCAAAACATAGTAACTGTATTGTAGGCCTCTCAAGACATCTATTAAATGTATGGTAAAAATAACACAAAGAACAAGGGCAGAAATGGAAGTTGTAAAATTCATGTTATACGTATTAAACATATATGTTATACATATTATTGTATTATACATCAAGCAGTGAACTATAAATATTGGACAAATATGATAAGATAAAGCATTTTAAAATTATATAACAGTGACCCTAAAAATAAAACAAAAGAATATGGCTAAGTCAATACTAGATACATAATTGAGGAGAAAAATAATTACTTTGAAAGAAAAAAAGGACAGAGAAAAAGGAAGACAAATAGAATGCAAATACAATTGTATGCATAGCCCAAATATATTGAAAATTATACAAAATATAAGTGATATGCACATTCCAGTTGTAGGTCTATATAAGAAAGTAAGAGCCAATTATATGCTGTCTATATGAAAATTATTTTAAATATTGAGGTATAGTCATGTTAAAAGAAAGGATGGGTATAGTCAATATACCATGCAAAGTCTAATAATCAAGAATGTAAGTGGGAATACCAATATTAGGTAATGAGAAACTTAAAAATAATAACATGGATAAAGAAGGACATGTAATTATAAGAAAGTTAATTTATCAAGAGACATAAACACATCCTAAATGAGTATGCACTAACAACAATACTTTTAAAAGTAAAAAAATTGTTAGAATCAGAAAGAAAAGAGGACACATTTTAGAATTACAGTTGGAAATTTTGTCTGTCTTTTCTCAATTATTGATAGACTATGTAGATCCAAAATCAATAAATACATAGAAAATTTGAGTGATAACACCAATTATGTTGACTTAATTTGTATTATACGCTATGCTGCAACAGTAGTCTATGCATAATTTTTAAGTTTGTAAAATATTTTAAAATATATGCCATATGCTGGGTCATAAAACAAATAGCATAAAATAACAATTATCTGACTATAATGGGATTAAATTAGTAATCAAAAATAGACAGATAACTAGGTTACCCCTAAATATGTAAAATTAAAAAATACACTGGTTGATAACTTGAAGTCCAAGAAAAACATCAAAGGGAAATGTAAAAATATGAAATAATACATAATGAAACATCTTAAAAACTGTTCTGTGGCTAACCCAATACTGAGTTGGAAGTTTACAGCTTTCAATGTTTATGGTAAAGAGAAGAAAGGTCTTAATTATTTGGTCTAATCTTCCATTTTAAGAATCTAGAAAAACAAGTAGTAATTAAGCCCAAAGTGAGTAAAAGTAAGGTAATAATAAAAAAAGAGCAGACATTGATGACAGAAAAGTGACAATAATGGGGAAAAATTTGATAAAACCAAAAGCAAATTCTTTGAACACATCAGCCAAATTGTTCATTATCTAGCTATTGCAATAAAAGAAAAAAGAGTAAGAACACAAATTACCAACACCATTAATTAAAATGCTGATTTTTCTAGATTTTAATTGTATTAGTAGCAGAAAACCTTCCAACAAAGAAAAATCTAGACCCAGAGGCATTACTGGTTATTCATTTCAAATATTTAAACAATAAATAATATAATCCCATACAAAATATTTCAGAAAATTGAAAATAATCTCCAAAATTAATTTTTAAAAAGAGAATACAAGAAAAAATATTTTATCTGTATATTTAGTTTCTATTGCTGTGTGGGAAATTATCACAAGCTTAGCAGCTTAAAAGAACACCAATTATTATATCAAAGTGTCTATGGGTCAGATGTCTGTACACAACTTAGTTGAGTCCCCTGCTCAGTATCTCATAAAGCTTCAATCAAGGTTTCAGTTGTGTATTCTGGAGCTCAGGGTTCTCTTTCAAATTCATGTTGTTATGGCAGATTTCAGTTTCTTACAGTCTGGGACTGAGGCTGTCAGATCCTACAGGTCACTCTTGCTTGCCTGACATGTGGCCCTGTCTGTCTGTCATAGCACCTTGCCTTTGCAAGGTCCATTGGAAAGCTTCTACCATTTATAAGTAAGAGGGACTAATACATTATAACCCAATCATGGTTGTGATATCCCATCATCTATGCCATATTCCATTAATTAGAGGCAAGCCACAAGTCCTGCCTATGCTCAAAAAAAAAAAAAAAAAAAAAGATTGTATTGGTTATAACATTAAGGTGTGGAGATCATCCTGGAAATCTTGGATTTCTGCCACATGAAATCTTATATAAAACATCTACTAAAATCCAAGAGTAAACAAAATACATAGTTGAAAGACTGAATTCTTTTCCTCTCTATTGGGGAAGGCAAGAATATTGGGAAAATATTAGGGAAAAGAAAGGATTAAAATGAAGTTGCTGGGGTAGAGAAGTGATTCAAGAAAAATAAATAAAATATACAAACTAGAAATGATTGAGTAATATTTACATGCACAAATATCTTAATCATCTATTTTTAAAAATCCTTAAAATTACAAAAATATCCTAGAAATAGCCAGTGAGTTTGGAAAGATTATTGGATACCAGATTGATATGCAAAAGCAATTGAATTTCTATATATTAGCAAAAAAAAAGAGTGCGTAAATAAAATTTAAAAGTAATACCATCATTAAACATGGAATAATTTGTAGTAATTTTAACAAAATAAGTATAACACCTGTAAAATTAACAGTACCAAACATAGTTGAGAGAAATTAAAAACACCTAAATAAATGGAGAAATATATAAATATATCATGTCAATACATTGCATGAGACTATATTGTTCAGATGTCAATTTTCCCAAAATTGATCTATAGACTGAATGCAGTCTTCATAAAAATTACTATTTTCTCCCTAGAAACTGAAATACTATTATTTACATATGAGAACTCTAATTAACGCATCACTATGCTTATGATGTTTCTAGTCTTCTGAGATTCTAACCACATCTGTCATTTGTGTAGTAATTCATAAACGATTGAAAAAATTTTCAAAAATGTTCTCCAAATTTGCTGCGCCATTAAGTGTAGACCTTGTCGTGATACTGGTGGGACCATGTCTACTTTTGCTCAATGTTGCATCCATAGTATCTCGCTCCATAGCCAAAAATAGTTGTTAAAAATAAAGTGAATAATTATTTAATTACTTAATTAATTGCCTATATGTGATGTAGCTATCCATGCAACTAGAATAGGAATAAAGTATCAATATTCTTTCTATCTACACATGTCTATGTTTTTTAGTTTCAGTAAAATGTAAAAACAGCCTTTCATCTCATTAGAAGAGATGATGATTATATAAATTTGATTTTCAATTTCTAAATAAACAAATGCTGACAACATATTCAAACATTGCCACTGATTTCATTTTAAAATTTCCTTTACCTGTGGACATAAAAATTATGTATTCTCAATCCCAGAGAGAGTGATTTATAGTCAATTCTGTACACTGATCTTTGTTGATGATTTAAAAATTCATAATTCATATGTATGTATCAGAATTTAGCAAGGTATATGCTTTTAGAATCCTCTGTGATCACATCTAGCAATGAAATGAGTGTCTTTTTTCCAATTGCCAAGAATTCAGCAGAAAAACAGGATGAACATGGTTTATGAGGCCATTAATAAACATTTCAAGATATTTCCAAATGCTAGAGATAGCCCTGGGCCTTTTATAAGTTACCCCATAGAGCATAGTTTGAAGCATCTTTAGGATATTGTAACATGGCCATTTAACTTAGTCATTTACCAACAAAAGGCAATAAAATTTAAACTTATTTCTGTGATAAAAATAAATACGTATATAGATATGAAAATAAAGATGTAACTGCTTTTCTAAATCTTGTTTATTAGATACACTCATTGATTTCTAAAAATCTCCTAGTTTAAAATTAGGATAATGCAAATAGGTAGTGTTCCATGTATACAATTGGGCACATTTAAAAAATTAGTTTGAGTTTCCTTTGATAAATCCGAATCTTTATTTCACTGGCAGAGCTGTTCTCAATTGTTCTTTGCTGACACTAAACTTTTCTACCTTTATTTTGTATTAGAGAAATCCAGTTCAGACGGGTAGTTGCAAATATCCCAATAACATCAGTAAGTCATGTAAAGTTTTTGTTTTTTTTAAGCAAATCACACTATATTAATCCTCCACTTAAAACTTTTTGGTAGCTTTTCCTTGTCCTATGGATAAAATCCAAATTATTTAGGATAGCACATAAGGCTCAACATTTCTGAATCTTGTCTGTCCCTTATCCTTTCCTCTTCCTTACCCTCCAGCCACTTGGTGGCAGCAACAACAACTACATTAACGACTTCATGGTTGTCACAGGTCAACATCTCTCTTGTAATTGTTTGATAAAGTTCACAAAGCCCCTTTGCACACGTTGCCCTATTCTGATCTTGACAATAGCCTTATGAGGTCAGTACTGTTTTCCTTATTAAATCCACATCAGAGTTGAGATCTCAGGGTAGTAAGAGAGGCAAAATCAAACATGACAAAGAAAAACTAACACCCAAGCACTCTGATTCTAAATCCAGCCATTGTTTCAGTTAACCAACAGAAAAGGTGTTCATTGCTGTTCATTTCCTGTGTTTGTTAAACATCTAAAGCAGAAACATATAGATGGTGGAACCTTATTTTAGGTTTTAAATAAAATATAATAAGTATTTCATAAACTCAAAAATCACACAATTCCCTATACTCTATTAAATCTAACATATATTGTTTCTCTAAAATGTGCCTGAACTTTCTTTCCTTTTACTGCCAATATTCCTTTCACTTAATCATTGCTGATAGCTTATTCAATATAATTTTGACGAAAATGATTTTCAAATAAAATGTACTAAAATAATAATTTACCATACCATCTAAAAAACTCAGACATGTCCATTGGTCATTTGAACCGACTGCTACCATTTAGATACAGGGAAAAAGTTAAGTATAAAGCTCTTCCTCAGTTCATATTTCTGCACATACCAAATAAAATGGAAGATAGATTATATTAATGTCTATTACATATACCCTAATTAATTTTATCTTTATACATATGGTTAAAATTGTTCCCTTTATAAAATATAAAGAGAAAGATATGGTACTTCAGTTTAGGTGATTAGTGATTTGAAGGAAAGACAAAGTTAATTAGAGTATTGAATCAATGTTACAGGTACAGATTTATTATACCAAAAATATTCAAAATATGGACGCAAGAAATAGAGACTTTTAAAAATGCAATGTATAATAATTACTATTATATACTTAATCAAATCTAAGCTGCCCCCAATTAAGAGATGACTCACTCTCATAGGTACCACCACAAAATAATTCTAATATTGCCAACTAAGCAATAACACAATGTCTTAGTGATGCTTTCACAAGATCCCTCACTCCAGCATATTGTTGCTTTGAAATTTCTTTCTAAAGTTTCCAGGGAGTTTTTCTATCTTTCTGCCTCCAGTTTCATTGCCTCACTGTTCTAGCCAATCCACTTACAGTTATCTCAGTAACAAAACATACCAGAGCTTCAGCTACTTCTCAGCACCTCTCTTTGTAAGTCTTGTGAAACACATTGCTGTTTTGCAAGTAAATATGGAATTGTAGCTCTTCTTCCTTGGCAGGTATTTTCTTTACTGATACATCAAATTACATTCTGTTACTTTATTTCTGTGCCTCTACATATATTCAATAATCATGTATTTGACTGAGAAGTCATAGCATCATTTTCTATGAAACTGTGAACAGCAATGAAATTCAAAAATAAGTGATAAAAACTGACATAAATTAACTAAAGTAAAACAGTATGAAAATATTAGGACTAATTTTCATATATGTATAGTCAATTTCAAGTTTTTCGCAACGGCTACTTGAAAAACAGTAATTGCTGTATTTTATCAATAGTACTTGTCTCAAATTTAGAAAATTAAGAACTGTTAAAATGTTTTTTTAAAAAAGAGGGAAGGTGAGAGAAGAAAGAGGAAAGAAAGAAAGGGAAGAAGGAAGGAAAGGAAGGAAGGAAGGAAGGAAGACAGAAAGAAAGAAAGAGAGAGAAGGAAGGAAGGAAGGGAAAGAGAAAGAGAGAGAAGGACGGAAGGGAAAGAAGAAAGAAAGAAAGAAAGAAAGAAAGAAAGAAAGAAAGAAAGAAAGAAAGAAAGAAAGAAAGAAAGAAAGAAAGGAGAAAGAAAGAAAGAAGGAAAGAAGGAAAGAAAGAAAGAAAAAGAGAAAGAGAGAGAGATAAAAGAAACAAAGAAAATTTTTAAACTGTTACAAACATCAACTTTTTTTAAAAGAAATGGCTTCCTTTCATCCTTAACTCTGCTTCATGAGTCACACCTACAACTTTCCAAGAATAGCTGGCCTGAGCTCTCTTCTTAATTAAGTGTTCAATGACACAAAGTGACTCAAACTTAACGTTTAATATCTCTGTCAAAAAGGTTCTATTTTATTGCTTATTGTTAAATATGTTAAATATATTCCATTGCCAAAAAAACTCTCTCTCTTAAAATATGAGAAAAGATTTCTTTCCTAAATGCTTTCAGACAGTATGACAAAGCTCAATAAACACTTTAAAGAACACACTATTTAATATCAGAATACATCTCTTTTATTATTTTCTTTATTTTTAGACAGAGTCTCACTCTGTTTCCCAGGATGGAGTACAGTGGCATGATCTCGGCTCACTGCCACCTCCTTCTCCCAGGTTCAAGTGATTCTCCTGCCTCAGCCTCTCCAGTAGCTGGAATTATAAGCATGCACCACCACACCTAGCTAATGTTTGTAATTTTAGTAGAGATGGGGGTCTCACCATGTTGGCCAGGCTGGTCTCGAACTCCTGACCTCAAATGATCCACCTGCCTCAACCTCCCAAAGTGCTGGTGTTATAGGTGTGAGCCACTGTGCCTGGCCTATTATTTTCTTTTCATATTATCACAACTATACTTTTGCAAAGCAATTTCACTTGGATTTTTACTCACTTTTCTACACTTACTATATTAGGGAAACATTATTCGAACTGTTCTATCCAGTATATCAGAAAACATTAATAAGCATCAAAAAATGACCCAGCATAAAATATGTTCGTAAAATATTAATAAATATTTCACAAAAAAAATAAGACTATATAGACATTCATGTCTGAAAAACATGTCTGATGTAACATGTCTGAAAAACTTTTTCCCACAAGACCCTTTTTCATGGAATACCTTTTTAAGATCTCACATATAGTTTTTCTATGGATTACAATCAAAAATGTTAAAATATAAGTTATTTCTGAAAAATGTTAGAATATGTCATTTATCATCTGTGAAACATAACTTAAAATTTGAAGAGTATTGCAAGTCAATTTTTTAATTATTATTTTCAATTGAAATATTTGAAGAGGGCATTTTAAATGCTATTTATCTTTTAAGTAATAAGTGACAAGTTTTATAAGTAACATAATTTAAAAATACATACAGAAATAAAAGTAGCAGCAAAAAACCTGAAAGATTAGGTTCTTGCTCAGAATGTTGAGGAAAGATTATCTTCTCAGCGTTTTTAGAAGATTTAGATTTTTCTCAGAATGTTGAGAAAAACCTAAAATAAATGGCACAACAGAAAAGATATAAAATACATATAGAATAAAACTATGATAGCTAACATACACTTAAAAGGAGTTCCAGAAAGAAATGGTAAGTGTAGTTTAAAAAAATAATCAAACAAATAATAGAAGAATATTTTTTAAGAATTTTTCTAAGAATATTTTCTAAGAATATAGAAAGACTTGAATCTTTAGGGGAAAAGACATGCTGTATCAAGAAGGATAAATTAAAACAGACTGACTTTTTTACATATTGGTTTAATTTCAGTAAATCAATGACTAAGAAAATCCCTGTGTCCCTCAAAGATAGGGAAAAAATGTATTCAAAGAGAAAAAGAATCTGAGTGGCATCAGATCTGTTACCAGGAATACTAAGTGCCATAAAAACAATGAGCTAAAGTGTAAAAGAAAATTATTTTGAACTTAAACATTGATACCCAGCAAAACTATCTATTAGACATGTGAAAACTGAAGATATCACCAGACATGTAAGGACTCAAGTAATTAATTTCTAAAGGACTCTTCATAACAGGAGAAATCCATACTAGAATATAGAATATGTGAGCTCCAAAAAATAGAGAACCTGAGCAAAGAATACAATAAAAAGAAATCCCAGGATGAAAATTCTGATATCATCCTTAACCTAATTAGTCTAAATTAGAACTAGACTAAAACAGACTGAGAATTCCGTTAAAAAAAAAAAGTACAATAAAATAAATTTTATTGAATAGACTAAAGTCAGATCTTGGAAGATCTTCATACTATGGTGAAAAAGGCATAAGTTTCATTTCCCAATAGGGAAAAAGCAAGTCAAGTGGAATGCCACTGAAAAAATACATATTATATATTTACTATCTAGTTATGGTCCAAATATAAAGCAAATAAAATATGACATGGCTTTTGAGCAGTTGATGCATTATAATAAAATGAGAACGCCATTTATATTTTATGTAAGGAATATTCTCCTTTGACAACAATTCTATAATTTTGAACTTAAGATATGTAATTTTAGCACAATAGCTGATTCTGAACTGAGAACAAAAAATGCTTATTTATAATTATGTTAAAATTTAAATAATGTTGAATGTTTAGAATTGTTGCAGCTTTTTCACTCCGTAGTTCAGCAAGCCGGGGGAGCGGTGCCCAGTGGCTTCTCTCTCACTGTTAGACAAGCGGGACAGCTCTTTTATTCCTGCTGCCTGCAGATTGGTGAGCAGGAGCGTTATAACTCTTTCGCTCCTGCAGTTTGGCGAGTTCTGGGTTCTTGGTCTGCAACCAAGAAAAATAAGGTACGTGGATACCAGAGAGTGAGTAAGACAGGGTAGAATTTTACTGAGCAACAAAAAGAAAGCCGGCAGCTCTGAGAGGGGACCCTGAAGTTGGTAGCTGTCTATGAGGTTGAGTCCGGGCTTTATCTGAGCTTAGAATGGGGGAGTGTGTGCTGATTGGTCTATGGGTGGTCTTGGAAAAAGCACCATTGGGTTGGTTAAAAGGCATCATTCCAAAGGAACCAATCGAGTGAGAGTAGATAAGATGGGGATAAAAGTTATTACTCCAGTCAGGGACTCTATCGGGAACTGGCAGCTTGGTTTTCAGGTTTTATACAGACGTGTTCCACATTTGTGTCTTTTGACTAGCATTGTTTTTGAGGTTTAATCATATTATTGAATTTATTAGAATTTAATTTTTTTAACTGATGATGCATACTTCATTATATAATGCACATCTATTCTATTGTTGATGAGCAATTCTGCTCTTCCTAGTTTCTAGCTATTAAAAATAATGCTGCTATGAAGATTCTTATACGTGAATTTACGCACTCACTTGTAAGCCTTCTTTCTGTTGAGTATATAACTAGGAGTAAAATTGCTGCTACAAGGTCAGCTTGAGTAGATAATTTCAAAAAGATTTTCAAAGTCTTAGTTTTAATTTGCATCCCCACCAGCACTGTATGACAACATTTGATTCAAACTCTTGGCAACAATTGGTGGTGTCAGTCTTTAATTGTGGCCATTCTTGGTGTGTGTGTAGTGATAATAATATTAGTGATATCTTACTTTGGTTTTAATTTACATTTCCTTGATTACTAATGACTTTGAAACACTTTCATATAATTTGTAATTTATTGGGCACTTGCTTTTGTGTGTATATATGAATGTGTATATGTGTGAGAAATAAGAGTGTTGTGTTATCTTTCTTTACTCAATTTATTTGTACAAATTCTTTGTGTAATCTTGAATACATACTTTGTTTTATATATGTTGTCAATATCTTTGATTTTTGTAGTTTGCATACTCACTTAATGGGGTTGTTGGAAGAACAGGTTTTAATTTAATGTACTCTAACAATATATTTGATTATCATTTACTTTTTTTTTTTTTTTTTCCTGTATAGTATAGGAAAATTTTACCTACTCAAAAGTCATTGTATTCCCATAACTTCTAAAACAGTGGTTCTCAACCAGGGACGATTTCACATACACACTTAAATATACACATATTCAGCTGTGCTGGAAATGTGTTTGACTGTCACAAGTGGGGATTCATGTTAGAGACATCTAATGAGTACAGTTCAGGAATGACACTGAATAGCTTACAATGCAAAGGGCAACTCCCTCTCTAAAGAATTATTCCATGTAAAATGTAAATAATATTGCTGTTGAGCAATCCTATTCTAATTTTTGCATTTCCACCTTTTACATGAAGATTTATTTTATTTTATTTTTTGTTTTTTTCGGGACAATCTCACTCTGTCACCCAGGCTGGAGTGCAGTGGCACGATTTCGGCTCACTGCAATCTCCGCCTCCCGGGTTCAAGCGATTCTCCCGCCTCAAGCTCCTGAGTAGATCGGTTTACAGGCTCGTGCCACCACGCCCGGCTAATTTTTGTATTTTTAGTTGAGACGGGGTTTCACCATGTTGGTACAGCTGGTCTCGAACTCCTGACCTCGTGATCCGCCCACCTCAGCCTCCCAAAACCAAATTTTATGTTGTGCTTAGATTTTTTTCTTTCCCTATGTATATATTCAATCATTTTTTGAGATCATTCTTTTTCCAGTTTTCTGAAGTTTGTCTTAAATCAAATGTCTGTATCTGAGAGGAGCTATCTCTGGACTCTTTTTTTTCCATGTCTTTATTTTTTCAAGCCTGTACCAAGACACTCTGTCCTAATTACTGTGGCTTTAAAAAAAGACTTGCTATGCAGTAGTATAAATCTCCCAACTTTATTTACAGAGAGTTCTATTTGAATTTCATATAATTTTCATGTTTCACAGAATATTGTTGTCCTTTTTACTTTTTTTAACCTCTTAAAATATAAAAACCTGTTTTAATTTATGGGTCATACAAAAACAGGTGAGTGGTCCAGATTCGACCCATGGGCCATAGTTTGGCAAACCCAGCTCTATATCCTTTCCTGTTTTTGTCTGCCTGATTATTCTAAGGTAATGGACAAACTCATTTAAATATGTTATGATTTTTGATATATCCATTTCTCTTTTCATTTTGTGAAATTTTGCTTCATAAAATTTAAGACTATCTTATTTAGATATATTAAAAACAAAAAAAACAAAAAAAACTTTAGGCCCAATGTGGTGGCTTATGCCTGTAATCCCAGCACTTTTGGAGCCCGAGGCAAGAGGATCCCTTGAGCTTGGGAGTTTGAGGCTTCCTTGAGAGATGATTGCACCATACCCCCTGCACCCTGGGCAACAGAGAGAGAACCTGTCTCTAAAAAAACATTTTTTGAAAAATTAGACTTAAGTCTTTCTCCTGGGTTGATTCTTTTACAATTAGAAGTGATTTCTGTTCATCTTTACTAATCCTGCTTGCCTTATGTTGTTCTGGTTTGATATTGATATATAGCTAAAGCTCCTTTTAGTTAATATTTACATGCTGGATTTTTTGTATCCTTTTACTTTTAATCTTTCTGTATTTCTATTTTTATATTATTTTCTAAGCAGCATATGGTTGGACTTCATTTGTAAAGTACATTTTGACAATAATTTAATTTTAATGTTTATTACCACTATATTGCAACTGGAGTATTTACTGGTTTTACATTTAATGGAAATAATGATATATTCACGTATGGGTTTGAAATTACCACCTTATTTTTTTTTTTGTGTATTTGTACCACCCAGTCTATGTTTATTTTCCTTCCTTTAATTCCTTCTTTTGTGTTATTAAAGTATTTTACCATTTGATATTTTTCTTCTTTTAGCTTGTTAGTGTTATTTTACTCTTCTTTGAGTAGTTACCCTAGAAATTTTAACAAAAATTTTAGAGAAATCTAACATAAATTAGTACAGTTATTACTTTCCAAACAGTGCAAGTTCATGAGAACCCTTAACTCAGTTTACTCCTTCAGCTTTTTAAATATAGTTTAATTCTACATAGAATTTACACACCACAGGCATGGTTAATTTTCTGTAATACAGTTTGTATTATTTAAAACATACTCACTGTGCTTTTCTTTGCTTTTTATTACCTTCTGAATGTCTCTGCTTTCTCTTCAGTTTATTATGCTTTTGTCTGAAATACGCACTTTGGCAATTTTTAAGGGGAGATCTGCTGACAGTTATTGTTTCAATTTTTTTTTTAAATTTTCACTTCAGAAAGTAGATTATCACTTGAGCGATTGTTGTCTATTTCTTTAAATAAGTCTACTTTGTTTTGTTTACATTCTTCAAACATTCTGCTGAATTAGTACTTTTTAGTTTCATTGTTGCTCTATTAAGGGTAATGTGTCTTTTCTTAATGTGGCTGCTTGAAGATAGTTTCTGTGTCTTGGAATTTTTGCAGTTATATTCTAATATACCTAGGCATACTTTCTTTGTATTATTGAACTTCAGATTTGTTATGTTTTTCAATCTGTGGCTTACTGTCTTTCCTCACTCTCAGAATATTCAGAGCAGTTTCTCATCCCATACTGACAGCAACCCATATATACCCATATATTTGCCCCTGTCTTTATGGGTTTCCAAATAATTAGTGTCATTACTTTGTGTGTCTCATAGTCAATGTCTTTCATTTTGTTTTGTATTTTCTTCTCTGTCTCTCTCTCTTTTTTTTTTTTTTTTGAGACAGAGTCTTACTCTGTCCCCCAGGCTGGAGTGCAGTGACATGATCTCAGATCACTGCAGCCATGAATTCCTGGGCTCAAGTGACCCTCCCACTTGGCCTCCTGAGTAGCTGGGACTACAGACGTGCACCAACATGCTGAGCTAATTTTTTACAATTTTATTTTTAGTAGAGATGAGGTTTCACTATTTTGCCCAGGCTGGTCTCAAACAACTGAGCTCAAGAGATCCTCCTGCCTCAGCCTCCTAAAGTGCTGGGATTACAGATGTGAGCCACTGCACTTGGCCTGTTTCGTATTTTCCATCCATGCCTCTATCTGTAGATTTTCCATCCACACACTTTTTAGTGCTGTAATCCTCTATTCTAACACTTCTCATCTGTTATTAAGTCTTTTCTTCAATTTTCAATTACAGGTACTATTTTTTTTTAGTTTTTGAACTATTGTTTCCTTTTTTTAGACTTCTGTCATGAAATATTATATCTTGACATTTATTTTTCAGTATTAATCACAGTTATTTTAAAATAAGTGCCTGATAACTCCAACATTGGAAGTACCTACAAGTCTACAGTTATTTCTTTTGTGTTTTATAAATTTAGTCCCATCTCCTAGAATTCCTCAAAGTTATATTTTTGGCTGGACATTGTCTATTAAAAAGTTATATAACTAATTTGAAACTCTGCTGAATTCCTGTATGCTTATGAATTGGATAATGACTTGAGGAAGAAGTTGGTGCACAAAACTGAAATTTCTTTTTTTTTTTTTAAGTGCCAGGGTACATATGCAGGATGTGCAGCTTTGTTACATAGGTAAATGTGTGCCATAATGATTTGCTGCAACTACCATACCATCACCTATGTATTAAGCCCAGCATGTATTAGGTATTTTTCCTGATGCTTTCCCTTCCCCAGCCCTCTCCCTGTGTGTGTTGTTCCACTCCCTCTGACTATGCGTTTACATTGTTCACATTGTTCAACTCCTACTTTTAAGTGAGAACATGCAGTGTTTGGTTTTCTGTTATTGTGTTCGTTTGCTGAGCATAATGGCCTCCAGCTCCCTCCATGTTGTTACATTTTATGGCTGTGTAGTATTTTATTTTATGGTGTATATGTACCACATTTTCTTTATCCAGTCTATCATTGATGGGCATTTGGGTTGATTCCATGTCTTTGGTATTGTGAATAGTGCTGTGTCGAACATACATGTGCATGTATCTTTATTATAGAAAGATTTATATTCCTTTGAAAATATACCCCGTAATGGGATTGCTGGGTCAAATGGTATTTCTGGTTCTAGGTCTTTGAGGAATTGCCACACTATTTTCCACATTGGTTGAACTAATCTACATTCCCACCAACAATGTAAAAGTGTTCCTATTTCTCCACAGTCTCTCCAGCATCTGTTGTTCCTTGACTTTTTAATAATTTCCATTGTGACTGGCATGAGATGGTATATCATTGGGTTTTGATTTGTATTTCTCTACTATCAGTGATTTTGAGCTTTTTCTCATATGTTTGTTGGCCACATAAATGTCTTCTTTTGAGAATTGTCTGTTCATGTCCTTTGCCCACTTTTTGATGAGGTTGCTTGTTTTTTTTTTTCTTGTAAATTTGTTTAAGTTCCTTGTAGATATCGGATATTAGACCTTTGTCAGAGGGAGAGATTGCAAAAATTTTCTCCATTCTGTAGGTTGTCTGTTCACGTGGATGATAGTTTCTTTTGCTGTGCAGAAGCTCTTTGGTTTAATTAGATGCCGTTTATCAATTTTTGCTTTTGTTACAATTGCTTTTGATGTTTTCATCCTGAAATCTTTGCCTATACCTATGTCCTGAATGATATTCCCTAGACTGTCTTCCAGGGGTTTTCTAGTTTTGGGTTTTACATTTAAGTCTTTAATTCGTTCTGAGTTAATTTTTGTATAAAGTGTAAGGAAAGGGTCCAGTTTCAGTTTTCTGCATATGGCTGGCCAGTTATCCCGGCACCATTTATTAATAGAGAATCTTTTCCCCATTTCTTGTTTTTGACAGGTTCTTTGCAGATCAGTTGGTTGTAGATGTACAGTCTTATTTCTGAGTTATTTATTCTGTTCCCTTGGTCTATGTGCCTGTTTTTGTATCAGTACCATGCTCTTTTGGTTACTGTAGCTTTGTAGTATAGCTTGAAGTTGGGTAGCATGACACTTTCAGCTTTGTTCTTTTTGCTTAGGATTGTCTTGGCTATGCAGGCTCTTTTTTGGTTCCATATGAAATTTAAAATAGTTTTTTTTTCTAATTCTGTGAAGAATGTCAGTGGTAGTTTAATGGGAATAGCATCGAATCTATACATTACTTTGGGCAGTATGGCCATTTTCACAACATTGATTCTACCTATCCATGAGCATGGAATTTTTTTTTCTCTGTTTTTTTCCTCTCTGATTTCCTTGAGCAGGGGTTTGTAGTTCTCCTTGAAGAGGTCCTTCACTCCCCTTGTTAGCTGTATTCCTAGATATTTTGTTCTTTTTGTAGCAATTGTGAATAGAAGTTCATTCATGGTTTGGCTCTCTGATTGTCTGTTGTTGGTGTATAGGAATGCTTGTAATTCTTGCACATTGATTTTGTATCTTGAGACTTTGCTGAAGTTGCTTATCAGCTTAAGAAGCTTTTGGGCTGAGATAATGGGGTTTCCTAGATAAAGGATCATACCATCTGCAAACAAAGACAATTTGACTTCCTCTCCTGTTTGAATATGCTTTATTTCTTTCTCTTGCCTGATTGCCCTGGCCAGAACTCCCAATATTATGTTGAATAAGGATGGTGAGCGAGGGCATCCTTCTCTTGTGCCAGTTTTCAAGGGAAAAACTTCCAGCTTTTGCCCATTCAGTATGATATTGGCTGTGGGTTTGTCATAAATGCCTCTTGTTACTTTTAGGTATGCTCCTTAAATACCTAGTTTATTGAGAGTTTTTAACATGAAGGATGTTGAATTTTAGCAAAGGCCTTTTCTGTATCTATTGAGATAATCATATGGTTTTTGTCTTTAGTTCTGTTTATGTGATGAATCACATTTATTGATCATGGCCTTTCATGTTTTAACTGCTGTAGTAGCCATGAAGATTTAATTTCGTCTCATTCCTGTGAGGTTGCTGAAGATTCACTTAAGTTTCTCAATCACTTATCTTCTATTTCCTGCTTAATTTTTCCACCACCCAATTCCTTACCACTTTTAGTTGACAAGCCTCCAGAAGGAAATTGCCACAGAAGTTTAACCTGACCTCAATACGTTTCTTTACTCTTGGGACTCCTCAAGTCCTGACTGACTTGCTTGAATTCTTTATGCTTTATAACATATGCTCATAGTTTACTTTTTTGTGTTTTTCTACTTGTGCCTTGAAGGTAAAATGACCTATTACCTGTTTCTAGGGAATAAGCCAGTGGTTTTGCCTCATAGGTCTGTAGAACATTTACTACACCGTTCAACCAACATATTGAACAGATTTTACAATCTCATTTTCTTTCCATAGTATAAGAGAAAACTCCTTTAAAAGAAAGATAATTTATGGGTCAGTGTTTAAAACCTATTCTATAAACTTACCTTTATAATTCTCATAAAATCTCATAAATAGAAAAAAATAAATTTCTATCATTCCTGAGACCAGAGTTTAAAAACTGAACTTCAAAAGAATGTAGAGAATATACCAATAAGCTAACACTAATAGTACTAGAAGAAGAAAGTCTTTTAGTGACAAAAACATGCTCTATTGTCTCCAGAGGCAGGTTTTCTAGAAAGCAAGCTAGTGATTTATAAATATCTGCTGGATTCTTTTGACATCAATATTGATTATTAGTGAACATAGAGCAATTTGGATATCACATTTGTTCTCTAGTACCAGATAGATGTATTTTTATACAAGTATGAATAAACAAAAATTATTATTTGAGGATCATGTATTAAAGTTTGATATTATTGTTGTTCCCTCTAGGTATATAAATATATCTATTATAGGATAGAAAAATAACCTAAAATAATATTTACCTATTTCCCTGTCATAGAATATATTTATGATGAAAAAATATCAGCCTATAGTTGAATCTATATTTTTCAGAGATAGTAAAGAGATGCAGCCCTTTGCAATATTACATCAGTGTGTAGGAACATAAAACTTAAGAAACACCAACACTATAAAAAAATGAAGTGATTAAAAACAATATTAAAATATAAGGAAGGTGTTTAATACACATCAAGCCAAAAAATAATGGTGTTCTCAAAACTAAAACAGAGTAAACACTATAGATTAACAAACAAAAAATTATTGTGAAAGTTTTTTGGTCAATATTTTGATTTACTTCTTTTAAATAAGAAATTAATTTAAAAGATTCCTGTATAAATATGATAATTACATATATAATTTTGTATGCATCAGTTTAAAAATAAACATAGCTTTGTTGTTAACTTCCTCCTCTATAAGATATATTACAATCTATTATTTTATATTATCTTATAATGATGTGTTACTTAATGAAGGGAATATGTTCTAAGAAATGTGTTGTTATTTTATTGCGGCACTATTCACAATAGCAAAGACTTGGAACCAACCCAAATGTCCAATAATGATAGACTGGATTAAGAAAATGTGGTACATACATACTATGGAGTACTATGCAGCCATAAAAAAGGATGAGTTCATGTCCTTTGTAGGGACATGGATGAAGCTGGAAACCATCATTCTCAGCAAACTATCGCAAGAACAAAAAAACAAACAATGCATGTACTCACTCATAGGTGGGAATTGAACAATGAGAACACTTGGACACACGAAGGGGAACATCACACACTGGGGCCTGTTGTGGGATGGGGGACTGGGGGAGGGAAAGCATTAGGAGATATACCTAATGTAAATGACGAGTTAATGGGTGCAGCACACCAACATGGCACATGTATACATATGTAACAAACCTGCACGTTGTGCACATGTACCCTAGAACTTAAAGTATAATTTGAAAAAAAAAAGGAAATGTGTTGTTATGTGATTTCATCATTGTGTGATCACCATAGAGTACATGTATACAAACCTAGATGGTATAGCCTATTGCTTCCAGGCTACAAACCTATACAGCATGTTACTGTACTGAATACTGTAGGCAATTATAACACAGTAGTAAATATTTTTATATCTAAACATAGAAAAGGTTAATACATTACAACAGCTAGGCAATAGGAATTTTTCAGCTTCATTATAATCTTATGGGACCACCATCTTATATGTGTTCAAGGTTCACAGAAATGTTATGCAGTACACAACTGTATGTTATATTAATACTATATTTTGTTTTGCCTGCCTGCCATAATTTCTGTCTCTTCCTTAGGAATCAAGCCCCATTTGCCTTGCCAAAGTGGTGACATGTAATCGAGGCTGGGCAAATGAATGTTACTCACATTTTCATACACAGTAATAGACTTGTGGAGCATTCCTGACCCAAGCTGAACCACTGCTTTTCACTTTCTACAATTTGATTTATGAATGGAGACTCAGGATTGAAATGCTCTTTATTTCACAGTGCACCAGAAAGCGAAGATTTAAAAACCCCTGTTGCAGAGGTCTCCAAAGCTGTATTGATATCTGTCTTTTGCAATGTTTCTTTAGATAATGTCTTTAAATAGTTTTTTGAGCTACTCCAGTACATTGCTCATAAACCTTATACAATTATTTATATATCTGTTGAATGTATTATATTTTAAACTAATTTAAGTTACTCCAAATTTGTATTTGATTAAGTTTAATTATGTTGCTTAAAACCAAGTGGGACTTACCTACTTCAAGAATGAATTGCAGGCAAAATCCTTTTAACTAATTCCTCTTATTTCACTCCATAGTTTATTCTACACACAATAGCTAGTTTTATCCAATTAAAATATGTTTGATCCTATTAAAGCTATTTTCTGAATCCTGTTTAGTTTCTTCTATCACTTAGCATAAAAGACTGTATAAAGGCTTACAGGTCCTATGCAATATGTACCTTTGTTACATCTCTGACCTTATCTCTTGTTATCCTGTTTTTTTGTTTTGTTTTGTTTTGTTTTTTTAATCTGCTAAAGCCAACTTGGTCTTATTACTGATTCTTAGAACATGCCTCAGGCCCTTTTCATAAGCAGTCTCCTCTATTCAATGGCTCTGTCCATAGTTAGCCATGAAGCTTACTCACTTATTCAGATTTTTGCTCAAATATTACAAAGGCCTAATTTGAGTATTCATAATAGTCACTATAACCAAATCTTTAGACGCTAACAATTAATCAATGAAAATTTGCCAAGTAAATGGAAGTCATAAAGCTTTAAGAAAGACAAATTTTAAAAAAATAGGAATTGAAAATAAAAATTTTAGGACAACACACATGCATATTCTCCTTTAGCATTTCTTCTGAAATTCTCCAAAAAACTGGGGGCTTTTACTCCATGTAATTGGAAAAGAAAATATTTACAGGGTAATTGGACATAAGCTTCAAGCTAATACTACTTCCTGAGGAATTAGAGTTTACATGAAGTCCACCATAAATTCTAATTTACAGAATGGGCGTTGTGGGAGTAGGTGATCACTAAAATTCTAACAAAATTTGCCTCATGTTAATTGCAGTGAGTTCCTGAATCCAAGTTACTTTTTTTCCCATCAGTTCTTGAATATGTAAGAGGAATGGGTGTTTGTTATATAGCATCATTCTCACTTTGATTACTTGACTTTTGGAGCCTGCTCAAATTATGATAGGATAAACACATTCATCCAACGAATAATAAAAACAACACATTGTTGCTATTTTTCATCCCTGAGGAATATGAAAATTGGTGTAAACTTCAAAAACTGGAAAAATCCTAGCCCTGTGATTCATAGTATATACCTATTCATTTGACTACTTTGGTTATTAGAAAAGAAGTAATAATCAATTACTGTAAACTTATCACTTAATAAGTATGACTGTGTCTGCTATCCAGATGTTCATGTGAATATGTGCTTTGGCAATAGGTATGTTTTTACCGATGTAGCAATTACATTTCAATTGAACACAGGGTAAAAGAGAAGCTTGCTGGCAGGAACTGCCTTTGTGATGTATCTTTTACTCTGGGATATATCTCCCTTCTAGTTCTGTGCTATATAAAGTTTTCAGCAAATTTATATGATTCACTGTCCCATAGGATGTCATATGCTTCCACTGGATTGTTGATAGAGTCTTAAGCTATAATAATAATAATAATAACAACAACAACACCAACTAATATTTATGGTGGTTACATATGTTAATTTGCCTACAGCGCTCTTCTGAGCCCTCACCAGAGTAGCCCTTAATGCTCTGCTCAGGGAAATACAGTCTTTTTTTTTTTTTTTTTTTAGCCTGTTCCTTGAAATTCTTCCAAGTCTCTGCCCATTACCCAGTTCTAAAGCCACTTTCACATCTTTGGGTAATTGTTATAGCAATGTGAAAAGAAAATAAAAATTTGGGATCATAATTCACTATGCCAAAAGGAAACAATTAAGCTGAAAGCTGGGTCATGCCAGAAACTGCCTTCCCTTTCGTTCCTAAGCAGATAGCTATAGGGAAAAGGTTAAGTATCTCCACAGGTAACTACTCTATGTTCACCCTATCTTATGTAAAGTGCCAATTTTCTGACCCTAGAGGAATACTTAATTGACTATTCCCCTATCTGCTTCTTTTCTTTTGCAACATATGGATTACCATACCTTTCCTCTTTCCCATCCAGCCCACTCTTCTTCTTTAAATACGGAAGCCTTTAAAATCATATTTGGAGAAAGGCACAGACCTCCTTCCGCAGCATGTCCTTAACCTTAGAAAAATAAACTTCTAAATTGATTGAGACCTGTCTCAGTTACGTTGTGGTTTGCAGTAACAGCCCCATTCTTTGTACAAGTTTTTTGTCTGAGTTAATTTTGTGTTGCTATAAGAGAATACCAAACATGGATAATTTATTTAAAAAAAATATTTCTCACAGTTCTAGAGGCTGAAAATTTCAACATCAAGCAGCGACATCCAGTGAGGGCCTTCTTTGCTTCATAACAAGGAGGAAGGCATCACATGGAAAGACATCATATACCCACCTCCAAATACTATCAACATATATCTTTAGAGATTAAGTTTCCTAAACATGAACTGTGGGGAACACATTCAAACCATGGCACGGAGCATGCTGGTGTCAATCGTCTTTAGGAGCAGTAGCCAACAATCGCTTTTGGTTTTCCTAATTAAATGTAATAAGATAATTTTTGATTGTATGTGAGGTAAACACATGATGTGAAACAGGAGCATTTTAGGAATTGAAAACTGAGTGGGAGGTTAGTACTTAACCTATGACTTTGGTCAGGTAGGGCATGCACAGTGATTTCGATTCTCTTTGCTTGCCTATTACCCCTTCTTCTGGGAGCAGATTCCAATCTCTATGGCAACAAAGAGAGACAGTATGTGATACAGACTGGTTTGATCAAAACATCTCAAGTCCCTGATACTCAGTTGATCTCCTCTGTGAATATTAATCTATAATGGAGAAGTAAGAAATTATTAAATTACATTATTATGAGGCTGCACCCTGGTAAAATGTTTCTGTTGCCTTTATCTCTTTTCCTAAACTTCAGTGTTTACCTTTAGACACTTCCTATCCTTTATAGAAATCCTTTTGTTTGTTTGAATAATGTATAAGTTAGCAGAATCTTAATCTTTTTAAATTGATTTTATTTTTGCAACCAAAGAACCTAAAGTAATACCAAATTAGAGCAACATCCACAGCAATTTGAGTTTAGAAATTTTAAATAAAAAATTCTACCAAGTAGTTTGTCAAACATTTATAAGGGCAAAATAATTCTCAGGTACACAAGTCTCACTGAAAGTTATTTTCTATTTCATAGAGAGAGAAATAAAAATTTGATATGACTGATAAGGGTCATTGTGTTGGAAAAATTTCTGATGATCAGCATTAAAAACAGCTTAAAATATTGAAATAAGCATGCATAGTGTTAGAATTACAGTCATTAAATTAGTAAAAACTTTTTTACTACTAACTCTCAATTTACCTGAAGAAGTACTTGGAAGAGTAAAGTGATTATTTTAATTGAACACACAACATGTCAAGATGAAGACAGTGCTAAAGTTTCATAATAGACAAATGGTAAGGTGCTTTGATTGTGCATAGAGATTCCTTAATTGACAGTAAATAGTCTAAAGGACTGGAACAGTTTCAGGCACACAATGGGCACTCAACAAATATTTGCTGATTTAATGTCTGAATGAAGTAAATACAAATTAAAATTTGGAAATCTTTCTCCAGTTAGATATGTTAGAAAATATCTGAAATAAAAGATTAACTTGATTTCTGAGGGAAATTAGATCAAAAGGAAATATAAATTTAGATGGGAAATTGTAGTATTGAGTAAACACTCATAGATAATTTAATAGAAACTAGATATCCTAAAAATGAAAAATTATGTAAACCTTCCTCCTCTCTCAGACATTCCCTGAGAACGTTACAATATATTTCATATTATAAAGGAGTAAAAAACAGCTGACAGACATATTGGAAATGTTCTGTTTTAGTGCCAGAACAAAAAAATGCAAATTAAGTCAACAATGAAATGTCATTTAAAATGCTTTTTAAAACAAAAATCCCACATGTTGTTAATGATAAGACAACATTCTTTTGGAAAGCATCTAAAATTTTAAGAATTACTTTTTTTCTATTCTCTTTCCCTAGGCTTTCTCTTCCAGTGGCTAAGTGTAATTCATTCTGCCTTATCAAGTATTATTCCAATCTCCATTCTCCTCCATTGTCCACACACATCACTTCAACTTAGGGTAACATCATAGCTATCTGAATTCCCACAATTATCTTATGTTTGTCCTTCAGCATCCATTCTTATTCCACTTGCTACATTCATTAAGCCACAAAGTAATTTTGATCATGTCACTTCTTTGCTTAAAACTATTGTAATAATATCCTCTTGCTCTCACTTAAGGTCAAACTGCTTAAAATGTTTTCAAAATCCTTTAGTTACTTTTCTGTTACTGTTCAATTACTCATTAAGTTAATTTTCCCTTAACTCCATCTCCTATTCCACGGCCCTCAAATCTAAGTTCCAGGCAGCTCTACCTTCTATTTTCCCAGGTTCTTTCTTACATCTTCATGTGAGCCCATTTGTTCTTGCTGTAGAACATGCTTCCTGTAGCCCGATTAACATTTAAGCATTCAAATATAAAACATAGTTTTAATATCAATCACTTCCTCCATCATCACAACCAGTTATCTTCTAGTCTATTGGCTTAGAAACCTATAATTATCCTATTACTGCAACCTTCATCACAAATGGGCAGATGGTACCTACCTCTTATTCTTGAAATTTTGCTCACTTTGGTGTCTGCAGTACAATTACATTTGATGAATGAATGAATGAATCAATCAATCAATCAATGAAAATTCATGAAAAGTGGAATATTTGGCATAGTATTATCAATTCTAGGATACTTTCCAAAATATACAATCCTTACTATCAGAAAAGTGTACATAATTGTGTTTATAATGACATTATTTAAAATAAAGCAATATTAGAAATCATTTAAAGGTTCAAATACAGAGCATTATTTAAATAGATTAGGATGGCAGTGGGCACTTACTGTTTGTTTGTTTACTTTAAAAATTAGTTCTCCTGGAAACCATCTCTCCTTCTTTCTTACCATTATGATTTATAAGTAATGGGCTCCACTTCCTCTTGAATAGTAGGCCCTGACTGGCTTAACCTAATCAGAATATTCCATTCTCCCAGAAGCAATAACTGGTCCAGGAATTGACAAAGAAAAACCATTCAGAACCAATGTAAATGAAAGATAATTGTTAAGGCTTCAAGAGAAGAAAATGTCTTTTTCCTTTGAGAATAGAAAGTGGAATGTGATTATAGTTTAAAGATCTGTGGTCTGGTACAAGGGCATCAATGTTTCATTTTTAATTAAACTTTTATTATGAAATAATTATAGGTTCATATGCAGTTTTAAGAAATAATACAGAAAAGGATAGGTTCAACATGCCTGACTAGAGATATCCAACATTTGCCCTCTCCAGAAAGAAGAACCGAAATTATGATTAGATAATTACGCTGTGAAGAGAACATTTAGGAGAGAGCACTGGAGTTCACCAGAGAAGTCACACGAAACACCTGAGACACAGAAAGGGAAGGAAATGAGTGGCCAGCACAGCAAAGATTGGCTGAGAGCCTGGAGAGTAAGAGACCCTAAGCAGTCCACATCCTCACCAACGACTGCTGTAAGCCTAACCATGGAAGAACTCTGCTACCCACATGAATCCTGACACTAGCATGTGCAGTGATGTGGATTCCCTGCAAGGGCATTGCACCCAATCAGGAACTCATGCTAAGACACATACGCCCTGGAGACCAAAGCAGCTGCAGCACAGTGCCATCATGAGAACACAGCCATCACTGAACTGCATTCTATCCTGGAAATCACAGCCCCCATATCTCCACACCCCAGGATACCCCACTGACATATCACAGTGCCCACCCAGGGGGCTACAGTGGCACAGCAAGGGCTGGACCCAAAGTTACTGCAATGTCCCTAGTACCCTAACTTTCATGGAGTACTATTTCCCATGGAAAAGATGGTGCAGCATACCAAGGAGGCAGCCCCCAGGACAAAGAAACCCAAAGTGTGTGCTTAATAGAGTATGAGAGCTCCCTGTCTGGGACTCTGAGAAGTGACCTACTCCCCAGGAATAGCACAATCTGTGGCTCCAGCAGAAATGTAGAATCTCCTCCTCCCTCATGCACACTGCTACAGCAGTTGCTGCCATTAAGATATCAGGTAGGCAAGCCTCAGAGCTCACAGTCTGGGGCTGAAGGCATTGACCCTTCCCCCACTGGCAGAGTGGCCTCTATGCTCAGGCTGACACATAGAGAGTATGACCCTTTACCCCACTCTGCACACCACCACAGCTGCAGCTGCTGTTGCTGCATTTAGGGGGCTGCCTGTCTGGAGCTGAGTCGTAACCACACCCCCACTGACAGTGTAGCCTCTATGCTCAGGCTTGCACATGAAATGCACTATAAAGACAAATATAGGCTGAAATTAAAGAGGTGGGAAAAAATACTCCATAGAAACAGAAACCAAAAGCAAGCTGGAGTAACTATACTTATATCAGATTAAACAGGCTTTAAGTCAAAAATAGTGAAACAAGACAAAGAAGGTCATTATATGAAAATAAGGGGATCAATCTAACAAGAGGATACAACAATTAGAAATATATATGCACCTAACACTGGTGCACACAGATTCATAAAGAAAATATTGCTAGATCGAAAGAGCGAGAAAGACTCTAATACAATAATAGTGGGGGACCACAACACCCCCACTTACAGCATTAGACATATCACCTAGACAGAAAATCAACAAGAAAACATGAGATATAAACTGGACCTTAGGACCAAATGAACATAACAGATATTTACTGAACATTCTATCCAATGACTACAGAATATACATTCTTTCCATCAGCACATGGAACATTCTCCAGGGTAGACGGCATGTTAGGCTACATAACAAGTGTCAACAAAATTGTGAAAAGCAAAATTATGTCAAGAATCTTCTCAGACAACAATGGAAAAAGCTAGAAATCAAAAAACAAAAGAAACTTTGGAAACTATCCAAACAGCATAGTCCTGAAAAACCACTGGACCAATGAAGAAATTAAGATGGAAAACAAGAAAAGTCCTGAAACAAATAACAATGGAAACACAATTTATTAAAACCTGTGGGATGCAGCAAAAGCAGTGCTAAGAGGGAAGTTTATAACAATAAACGCCTACATCAAAGAAACAGGAAAAAAAATCAAATAAACTATCTAATCATGCACCTCAAGAACTAGAAAAGCCAGAACAAACCATATCCAAAATCAGCATAAAAAAGATATAATAAAGATGCAATAAGAACTAAACAAAATAGAAACCAAAAAAAAGGATTAATAAAAAGAAAAGTTGTTTTTTTGAAAATATGAATAAAATTGATAAACTACCAGGTAGGCTAACCAAAAAGAGAGAAGATCTATATAAGCAAAATAAGAAATGAACGAAGATACATCATTAGTGATCATCAGAGACTATGATGAACAATTATGTGCTAACAAAACAGAAAACCTAGAGGAAATCGATAAATTCCTGGAAATGTGCAACCAACATTGAATCAGAAGAAACAGAAAATCTGAGCAGACCAATAACAAGTAGTGAGATTGAATTAGTAATAAAAAAATCTCCCTACAAAGAAAAGCCCAGGACTGGATGGATTCACTAGGAAATTCTACTACAGATATAAAAAACTAATGCAAATCTTCCTCAAACTATTTCAAAAAATCAGAGGAGGGAATTCTCCCTAATTCATTCTATGAAGAAACTTGCCATATGTAGAAAGCTGAAACTGGATCCCTTCCTTACACCTTATACAAAAATTAATTCAAGATGGACTAAAGACTTAAATGTTAGCCCTAAAACCATAAAAACCCTAGAAGAAAACCTAGGCAATACCATTGAGGACATAGGCATGGGCAAGGACTTCATGTCTAAAACACCAAAAGCAATGGCAACAAAAGACAAAATTGACAAATGGGATCTAATTAAACGAAAGACCTTCTGCACAGCAAAAGAAACTACCATCAGAGTGAACAGGCAACCTACAGAAAGGGAGAAAATTTTTGCAATCTACTCATCTGACAAAGGGCTAATATCCAGAATCTACAAAGAACTCAGACAAATTTACAAGAAAAAAACAAACAACCCCATCAACAAGTGGGCAAAGGATATGAACAGACACTTCTCAAAAGAAGACATTTATGCAGCCAAAAGACACATGAAAAAATGCTCATCATCACTGGCCATCAGAGACATGCAAATCAAAACCACAATGAGATACCATCTCATGCCAGTTAGAATGGCGATCATTAAAAACTCAGGAAACAACAGGTGCTGGAGAGGATGTGGAGAAATAGGAACACTTTTACACTGTTGGTGGGACTGTAAACTAGTTCAACCATTGTGGAAGTCAGTGTGGCGATTCGTCAGGGATCTAGAACTAGAAATACTATTTGACCCAGCCATCCCATTACTGGGTATATACCCAAAGAATTATAAATCATGCTGCTATAAAGACACATGCACACGTATGTTTATTGTGGCACTATTCACAAAAGCAAAGACTTGGAACCAACCCAAATGTCCAACAATGATAGACTGGATTAAGAAAATGTGGCACATATACACCATGGAATACTACGCAGCCATAAAAAATGATGAGTTCATGTCCTTTGTAGGGACATGGATGAAGCTGGAAACCATCATTCTCAGCAAACTATCGCAAGGAGAAAAACCCAGACATCACATATTCTCACTCACAGGTGGGAATTGAACAATGAGAACACATGGACACAGGAAGGGGAACATCACACACTGGGGCCTGTTGTGGGGTAGGGGGAGTGGGGAGGGATAGCATTAGGAGATATACCTAATGTTAAATGACGAGTTAATGGGTGCAGCACACCAACATGGCACATGCATACGTATGTAACAAACCTGCACATTGTGCACATGTACCCTAAAACTTAAAATATAAAAAAATGAAAAAAAAGGAAAATAAAACAAAGAATTCCCACCCTAAAAAAAAAATAAATAAAGCATTACTGATACCAAAACCAGAAAAAGACACAACAACAAAAGAAGAAAGTTGAAGGCCAATATCCCTGATAAACAGATGCAAAAATGTTCAAAAATACCAGCAAATGAAATCCAACAGTGTATCAGACAGATAATACACAATGATAAATTGTGATTAATATCAAGGATGCAGGGATGGCTTAACATATGCAAATCATAAATATGGAACATTAAATCAACAGAATGAAGGACAAAAACCATATCATCATCTCCATGGATACCAAGAAAGCATTTCATAAAATTCTACACCCCTTCATAATAAAAATTGTCAACAAACTAAGCACAGAAGGAACATATCTCAAAATAATAAAGATCATTTATGACAAATCACAGCCAGCATCATACTGAATGAAGAAAAGTTGAAAGCATTTCCTTACCTGAAGCAAGAGAGGAACGCCCACTTTCACGACTCCTCTTCAACATAGTACTGGAAGTCCTATGCAGAGTAATTAGCCAAGAGAAAGAAATAAAAAGCATCCACATTAAATAAGAGAAAGTCAAAACATCCCTCTTTGTAAACAATGTTATCTTATATTTAGAAAAAACAAAATACTTCACCAAAACCTCTTAGAACTAATAAATTCAGTAAAGTTGCAAGATACAAAATCAACAAACCAAAATCAGTAGTATTTCTAAATGCCAATAGTGTAATTGCTGGAAAAAAATCAAGGCAGCAATCCCATTTACAATAGCTACAAAAATAAAAATTTTAAAAAAGCTAGAATTAAATTTAACCAAGGAAGTAAATGATCTTTAGAAGAAAAACTGCAACATCGATGAAAAAAACTGAAGATGATGTAAGCAAATGAAATACACATTTCATCCTCATGGATTGGAAGAATTAATATGACTAAATATGTCTAAAATATGTCTAAAAGAAAGAAATCTACACATTTAATGCAATCTCTATTAAAATATTGATGCTATTTTTGACAAAAATAGAAAAACAATCTTTAAATTTGTATAGAACCAAGAAGGACCAGAATAGTGAAAACAATCCTGAGCATCACCTTGACTTCAAAACATACTACAATGCTACAGTAACCAAATACCATGATATTGGTATAAAAACAAACAGACAAATGGAACAGAGTAGAGAACCCAGAAATAAAGCCACATATTCACAGCCAACAGCCAACTGATATTTGACAAAGCAGACAAGAACACCCATTGGGAAAAGAACGCCCTCTTCAATAAATGGTGCTGGGAAAACTGGATAACCACATACAGAAGAATGAAACTGGACTCATATTGCTCACCATATTCAAAAGTCAACTCAAAATGGATTAAAGACTTAAATGTAAGTTCCAAAACTATAAAACTAATAGAAGAAAACATAGATAATACTCTTCAGACCACTGGGCCAGGCAATATTTTATGGCTAAGACCTCACAAGCATAGGCATCAAAATAAAAAATAAACAAGTGAAAATTTATATTCTGCACAACAAAATAATCACCAGAGTGAAGAGACAACATATAGAATGGGAGAAAATATTTGCAAACTACTCATCCAACAGGGGACTAATGTCCAGAATACATGAGGAACTCAAACAACTCAATAGTAAAAAATAAATAATCCCATTAAAAATAGGCAAAGGACATGAATAAACATTTCTCAAAAGAAGACATACAAACGGCCAACAGGTATGTGAAAAAATGTTTGTTATCACTAATCCTCAGAAAAATGCAAGTCAAAACCACAGTGAGATATCATCTCATCCCAGTTAGGATGGCTATTATTAAAAGGACAAAGCAATGGCCAGGCGCAGTGGCTCACATCTGTAATCTCAGCACTTTCGGAGGCCGAGGCAGGTGGATCATCTGAGGTCAGGAGTTCGAGACCAGCCTGATCAGCATGGTGAAACCCCATCTCTACTAAAAATATAAAAATTAGCTGGGCATGGTAGCATGTGACTGTAGTCCCAGCTACTGTGGAGGCTGAGACAGGAGAATCGCTTGAACCCGGGAGATGGAGCTTGCAGTGAGCCGATATTGTGCCACTGCACTCCAGCCTGGGTGACAGAGTGAGTCTCTGTCTCAAAAAAAAAAAAAAAAAAAAAAGACAAAGCATAACAGATATTGGAGAGGATGTAGAGAAAAGAGAACTCATACACTATTGGTGAAAATGTAAATTAGCATAACCACTTGAAAACAGAATGAAGATTACTCAAACAACTTAAAATAGAACAACCATATGATCCAAAAATCCTACTACTAGTTATTTACTCAAATGTAAAGAAATCCATATATCAAAGTGATATCTGCAACATGCACTTGCATGTTTATTGTGGCACTATTCACAATACACAATAGCAAGGATATGGAATCAGCCTAAGTGTATGTCAATGAACAAATGAATAAAAAATAATGTGGTATATGTCCCATGAAATACTATTCAGACATAAAAAAGAATAAAATCATGTCATTTGCAACAACATGGATTATACTGAAGGCCATTATGCTAAGTGAAATAAGCCAGGCACAGAAAAACATAGGGCATGTTCTCACTCATATGTGGCAGATAAAAACCTTGATCACACAAACATGGAGAATAGAATGATAGATACCAGAGACTGGGAAGCTGAGATGAAGAAAGATTCATTAATGGATACAAACATACAATAATATAGAAGTAATAAGTTGTGATGTTTAATAGCAGACTGTGGTGACTAAGCAACTATATATATATATTTTTTATATTTCAACATAACTAGAAGAGAGGTCCTCAGATGACACCAACTTAAAGATATGATACATATTCAAGGTGATATATACCTCACACATCCTAACTTGGTCATTACATATTTTATACATGAAACACTCACAAGTACCCCATAATATATAACATATGTATTAAAAAAGAAACAATACAAATAGTTTCTATGTACTTGATACCTAATTTCCACCAATGATAAGATGTTGAAAAACTACAATACAGTATCACAGCCGAGATATTGACATTAATACAGTTAAGATATTGAGCAGCTCCATTACAAGGATACCTAACATTGTCCTTTTATAATCACTCCTATCTCTCTCTTACTCTACCCCTCTCTCCCTATCCCTGACCCCTGGCAATCTTTAATGTGATCTCCATTTCTATAATTTTGTCATTTCAAAAGTGTTACATAAGTGTAATCATAAATTTTGTAACCTTTTACGCATGGCATAATTCTCTGAATATTCATCTCAGGTTTTGAGTGTATCAATAGTCTATATTTTTTAATTGCTAAGTAGTATTCCATATTCCATACTATGGATGTATCACTGTTTGTTTAGGCATTTACCTGTTGAAGGATTAGTTCCAGTTTTTGGCCTATTAAAACTAAAGCTACTATGAGAACTGTTATACAGGTTTTTGAGTGAAAGAAGTTTTCATTTATCTGGCATTGATGACCAACAGTGCAATTGCTGGTTTGTATGTTTAGTTTTACATGATACTGTCAAATGGTTTTTCAGAATGGCTATACCATTTTACATTTCTACCAGCAATGTGGTAATAATCTCACCATTGATTATACATATAGTAATTCTATTATAGCAGTAGATTTTTTAAAAAAATGGATTATATTTTATAACTGTATGGTGGTATTAAGAGATGCTCAATGGTTAGGTAATGACTTCAAATAGCATTTAATTATTTTAGAGTGCCTAAACAGGATTTTAAATAACTAATTAATCATAAATTCCCAGGAAAATAATCCAACACTTAACCATTAAAGTAAATTTTCTAAGACTGCAATTTCTAACTAGTGTGTCAGAACAGACTGCTGGGTCACAGGTAGAGGGCCGAAAAGGAAGAGGAGTCCCGGAGGCATCCTGGTGCTGGTATTTCCCCCCTCTGTTTTAGGACAATGGAAAGACCTGTGAGTAGGGGTATTTGGGGGACTGGGTGAACTAGCTACTGACCAAAAGAAACAGGAGTATTTTAATATTTTAATAAACTAAGTGCCTTTAAAAAATCAGGCTGAATGTGTATCAGCCTATTTACAGGTGTGCTGAGATACTGGCCTTACAGCGCTTGGGCTGGTCAAGTGGAAACTGAGTAACCAGTTGCCTCATTTGGCTAGGACGATGGGGCCATTCTCCTCTAGCCACAAACAGCCTAGGTCAAGTCACCTCACTGGGCCACAGAAATGTCATTTTCTATGTCTCTTTTGATGTCATAATCTATGAAGCACTGTTCTAAGTCAGAGATGTGCCACTCACCTCTTGATTTCTATTTATCTTAACATTTTTTCCACTAAATTGAGCAATATGCTTTATTATATTCATGTGTATTTGTGGTGTCTTTCTTGATCATTAATAAAGTTAACTGAAGTAGGGCAGTTGAAGCAAGAAATTATGGTTTCAAAACTTGGCTCCATAATTTACTGTGTGAATGTGGAATACACTTTTAATTTCTTTATAGCCACAAATTGCTTCATGATTAAAATGACAGGATAGGAAGAGAGATTCATCCAAGTAACAATTATTTGTTGAGCTTTTGTGAATCTTTAAAATAACCGGTATCTGTGAAATCAGAGCCTTATACATTTCAAAAACTTGGCTAAATAGAAAGGAGGCATTTGAAGACAATTTTGAAATCCTTATGTTAAATATTGTCTGTAGATGACATGGACTGTATTTGAGGATAGAAAAGTCAAGGAATGCAATTAATAGAGTCAAGCAGATCTCAAGTTTACATTTAAGTTTGAACACGTAAATGGTTTAACCTCATAATACTCAGTTTCCTTACAAACAAACTAGATTGAAATAGCACACACCAACAAGGCGCTGTGGCTTACACCTATAATCCCACAACTTTGGGAGGCCGAGGAGGACAGATCAATTGAGCTCAGGAGTTCAAGACCAGTTTGGGCAACATGAAACCCTGTCTCTACTAAAAAAGAAAAAAAAAAAGAGCCGGGCATGGCGGCATGTGCCTGTGATCCCAGCTACTGGGGAGGCTAAGGTGGGAGGATTACTGGAGCCCGGGAAGTTGAGGCTGTGATGAGCCGTGATTGCACCAGTGCACTCCAGACTGGGTGACAGAGCAGGACCCTGTCTCAAAAACAAAGAACAAAAACAACAACAAAAAATAGCACATGCCTAGAAAGTTGGTGTAAATATGAAATAAGGTAATATATTTAGCACAATTTTTACAGCTCTTGGTACATAGTTCTCATTAACGGTTATTAGTATGTATTTGACTCTTGTGAAGATGAGATCATTCATATCCATGCTGTAATCTCCCCTGCCACTTTTGTCAGTCAAGAAAAAGGCTAAATGTAAGCATAGTAAAAGAAAATATCTCAACTATGTGTGGTAGATCTAAAGATATTAGGTGTCTTACCATGCCTCAATTCTAAACAACCTTCTTAAATAGCCTGGAGTTTGTAAGAAGAGGCTAATTTACCCTTCAATTTTGAATAGTTACATAAAAAATTTAACTAGCTTAGCCAGATTATATAAACTCTCAAAAGGAGATGTAATAGCTTAGAGTTATCACTTGACATATTTTATTACTCCTTTCCATTAGGTAATTGCTTCATACTAATGTTAAAACTCGGGCTTATAAATGCTATTTATAAGACTATAAAGACTCTTTTTTTTTTCTTTTTGTAATCTCTCTTCTTTGTCTTGGCAGACAGTTCAGTCTCTCACTATGAAAAAGGGACAGACATCAGCAGTACGTGATAAAATCAGACAAAAAATACAATACTCTCTAAATAATCTTAGTGTTAATTACTAATAATTACTCAAACTTTTCCTTAAAATTCATCCAATGAGTATATTGTCTGGCTTAAAATTTGTGTTTAAAAGAGTTATATTTTGAAAACATATATGTATGTAGATGAACGTGTGTGTATATATATGTTATATGTAGATTAGATAGGCTGTCCCTAAATTTTATCAATACAATTTAGCTAAAAGGTGCTGAAGAGCATTTCTCATTATATATCAATACCTAGGCTGTCAGAAAGTTCTACCACCCCACTCTACTACCATTGCCTTCTAGGCTACATAAATTTGACTAAATTGACTTGCTGAGACCCTGTGCAGATATTTTTCAGTCTTCAAATTGAGGTGGGCATTTCCAAGATTCAAAAAAAAAAAAAGTACACATTTTAAGCTGCAACACTCACGGACTATGTGATTTTGGATAAGATGATCCCTCTGACACTCAACTTCCACATTTTAGAAATAGAGAATCAATTTGCTGCATAAAATGTTATATGTATATATGTATATATGTATATTGCATTAGGTAACGTCAATACCTCTGACATAGAACCTGCTGCATAGTATACACTGGAGGTTTCCTTCTCCCCTTCAATGGATGAGAATACAAGTGAGTGACTCTATATCTAAGAAAAAGAGGCTTAGGTGCTTTTAACAGTGAATTCTATTCCTATCATGATTGTTGATCATAATCTGGATGGTAACTGAAAATCCTAATAATTGGCATCAACCACTTCTGAAGTGTGACATGGGTAAGGTCCTTCATTTACATGTTTACTACACTATTATTTAATATAGACAGATATGATTAAATTTGAGGTATCCACTTACATTACCCAAATAAATAAGAGACTGGTTTTAAGTAAGCTGCTGATTTTCCCCTCAAAACTGAGAAATACTCTCAGCTTCACCTAGGTTGCCAAATTAACATGAATGTGCTGATTAAGCTACAGTTAATTTGTGAGCTCTCCCTAAGCAACTGCCATTCATTACATACATAGCACACAGCATCCTCTGTTTCGGAGAATTCCAAAAGTTTCAGAATTTCTATTTTTTAAATCAAGGATTAAAAAACTGCCACCTCACCAAAGTTGTGCAGAATTTAGTATGTTATGATTCTTTTTGTTTATTAATTGAAGTTACATAATTTTATTTTCAGGAGATCATGATCTTACCAAGTATACTTAACCCCACAAAGAAAATCAAAAGACATCTTTATCTTTTCAGAAAAACACGGACAATCTATAACTATGAGCAATTTATTTTGTATATCAATATTTTATTCCTTTCTGTTGCTGAGTATAATTTCATTACAGATGCACCATCATTTGTTTATTCATTCCTCAAGTGAGAGACACTTGGGAGTTTCGAGTTGTAGATAGCTATGAATAAAGATATTATGTACTTACAGCTATCTGTGTGAACATAGATTTCATTTCCCTTGGAAAGTACATAGGAGTGGACTGCTGTAATGCAGTGAGTGAATGTTTAACTGTATAAAAACTGCCATAGCCTTTTTCATAGTAGCTGTACTGTTTTTCTATGTTGATCAGTGATATATGACAGTTCCAGCTGTTCTGAATTCTTTTCGAACACTTAGCACTAAGTATTGTCAGGTTTTTCCTACTAATTCTAATGACTGTGTAGTGGTATTTCAGTATGGTTGCAATTTTGATTTCCCAAATGATTAATGATATTAAGCATCTGTTGATATGCTCATTAGCCATTTTCTCTGATGAACTGTCTGATCAAATCTTCTGACAATTATTATGTTTGGTTATTTCATTCTCTTATTGTTGAGTTTTGAGAGTTCTTTATATTTACAGATAGAAGTTATTAGCTATGTAACTTTCAAATATTTCTTCTCATGTTTTTATATTTTAATCCTCTTAACAGAGTGTTTCATAGAACCAATTTTGATGATGCTTAGTTCGTTCTTATTTTATATATAGCATTGAGAGGTGACAGCGTGCTGGCAGCTGTGGGTCACTCGGCACCTCCCTGGCCTGGGCGCCTACTCTGGCCATGCTTGAGGAGCCCTTCAGCCCACCACTGCACCGTGGGAGCCCCTCTCTGGGCTAGCTGAGGCCGGAGCCAGCTCCCTCTGCTTGTGGGGAGGTGTGGAGGGAGAGGCACAGGCGGGAACCGAGGCTGCATGCAGGCCAAAGTTCCAGGTGGGTGCCAGCTCCATGGCCCCGCACTCAGAGCAGCCAGCCGGCACTGCTGGCCTGGGCAGTGAGGGGCTTAGCACCCAGGCCAGCAGCTGCGGAGGGTGTGCCAGGTGCCCCAGCACTGCCAGCCTGCCCGAATCACACTGGAATTCTCCCCAGGCCTCAGCCACCTCCCCGCAGGGCAGGGCTCCTGACCTGCAGCCCACCTGGCCCGAGGCTCCCCCCACCCCCGCCCAGCCCCCCGCCTGCCCCCCTTCCCCCCCGCCTGCCCCCTTTCCCCCCATCTGCCCCCCTTCCCCCTGCCCCCACCTTCTCCCACCCCCTTCCCCTCCCCTGCCTTCCTCCCCCTTTTCCCCCCCTTCCCCTCCCCCCGTGGGCTCCAATGCAGCCCGAGCTTCCCTGACGGGCACCGCCCCCTGCTCTGCAGCGCCCAGTCCCATGGACTGCCCAAGGGCTGAGGAGTGCAGACATCTGCATGGGACTGGCGGGCAGCTCCACCCGTGGCCCTGGCGCAGGATCCACTAGGGGAAGCCAGCTGGGCTCTTGAGTCAGGTGGGGACTTGGAGAACTTTTGTGTCTAGCTCAAGTCTTGCAAATGCACCAATCACCACTCTGTGTCTAGATCAAGGTTTGTAAATGCACCATTCAGCACCCTGTCAAAACGGACCAATCAGCTCTCTGTAAAACGGACCAATCAGCTCTCTGTAAAATGGACCAATCAGCAGAATGTGGGTGGGGTCAGATAAGGGAATAAACGCAGGCTTCCAGCCAGCAACGGCAACCTGCTAGGGTGTCTTTCCATATGGTGGGAGCTTTGTTCTTTCGTTCTTTGCAGTGAGTCTTGCTGCTGCTCACTCTGTGGGTCTGCACTGCCTTTATTAACTGTAATACCGCGAAGGTCTGCAGCTTCACTCCTGAGGCCAGCAAGACCATGAACCCATCGGGACGAATAAACAACTCCGGATGGGAGGAACAAACAACTCCAGACGCACCGCCTTAAGAGCTCTAACGCTCACCGCGAAGGTCTGCAGCTTCACTCTTGAAGTCAGTGAGACTACGAACCCACCAGAAGGAAGAAACTCTGAACACATCCAAACATCAGAAGGAACAAACTGCGGACACACCATCTTTAAGAACTGTAACACTCACAGCGAGGGTCCGCGGCTTCATTCTTGAAGTCAGTGAGACCAAGAACCCGCCAATTCTGGACACAGCATGCCACAAATAATTTTTACTACATTTTCCACTAAAAGTTTCATAATTTTCCATTCTAATATTAGGTGTATAATCTTATTTGAATTAATTTTATACAAGGTTTAAAGTATCAATTAAGCTTAATTTTTTGCCTATGAAAGTCCAACTATTCCAGGGTAATTGCTTGAAAATACTATACTTTCTTTATTGAATTACTTTTGTCTGTGAAAAATCAGTTGTCAATGTTTATGGATGGAAAGGAGTAGAGAGGAAGAAAGAAGGAAGGAAGGAAGGGTGAAATAGAGGAAGGAAGAAAAAGAAAAGAAAAAATGAAAAGATCAGTGTTCATTTTTAGACAGTACATGTGATTATGTATCTCCACTAGAATTTTTCCAAAAACAAGTTTAGTGTAGATTATTTTATACTCAGTAGATTATTTTTATACTCATATCTTGCACATATGGATAACTAAAGGTAAATTGGACGGTCAAATTGTATTGTCTCTTAATATCTCTATTTTAAATAAAACGTAAATCACACCTCTAATGTTACAAAAATGTGTTAAATTTCAATTTTACTTAAAGCTAGTAATGAGTGCATTACTTTAAAAATATTACACTTTATAAAAATCTCTTTTTAAAAGCACAAAAGAGAAGTATGTCATATACTTTATACACCATCTTAGGTCTTTTTGGAATAATTTGTTTCTGACCTTTGTCTCTTTGTTCAAACCCAGTTGAAAAACAAGGTAAATAAGGTTTTATTTTGTTCCTGGACCAAGTCTTGTTGGGAAGATAGAGGAGTAAATCAATGTTAAGCTACTATCATTCATTCCACAAATAATTATTAAGTAACTAGTCCTCTTACCCATTCCTGGAAAAAAAAAAAAAAAGAAACAAGGCAAAAATACAAAAAAAACGGTTCTTATAAACGTTGTTTTATAATAAGGAAAACAGACCATACAAGAATAACACAATAGGCCAGGCCAGATGCAGTGGCTCATACCTGTAATCCCAGCACTTTGGGAGGCCAAGGTGGGCGAATCACGAGGTGAGGAGATCGAGACCATCCTGGCTAACACGGTGAAACCCCGTTTCTACTAAAAATACAAAAACAAAATGTTAGCCGGGCGTGGTGGCAGGTGCCTGTAGTCCCAGCTACTTGGGAGGCTGAGATGGGAAAATGGTGTGAACTCGGGTGGTGGAGCTTGTAGTGAGCCTAGATCTGCACTCCAGCCCGGGTGACAGAGCGAGACTCTGTCTCAAAAAAGAAAAAAGAAAAAAAAGAGAATAACACAATAATATAAGATTATTAAATTGCATGTGAGAAATTGAAAATTACAATAGGGAAAAAATAGAATGGAATAAAGGTGTTCCAGTTTATAAACACTGCAATTTAAACTGTGTTGGTAAGATTTATTTGAAAAGAGATGATTTTAGCAAGACTTGAAAAGCATGAGGTAGTTAGCTACATAGATATCTCAGGAGAGAGTATTCCAGGCAAAGAAAAGGCCAGTGCAAAATCCCTAAGGCAAGTGTGCACCTAATGAATGTAATCAAAAATGTAGAGGTCAGGGTAATAGGAGCAGAATGAACAAGGGGGAAAAAAGGAGATGAGATCATGTAAAAACTAGTGAGCAATTGCGAGGCCTTTGGCATTGCATCTCCTGAGATTAAACTGGAACCCATGATAGAGTTTTAAGTAAAGATGTGGTGCAAACTAATGTCTGTTTTTAAATGGCTGCTACGTTGAAAGACAACTGAGCAGTTCAAGGAGAAGGAGAGGTAAGTGATGTAGGCCCATACAGCTGCAAGAGCTCGGAGGTCATGATTGTCAGCCTAAGTCAGGAAAGCTTTCTGACAGAAGTTACACTAGAGTTGTCATGTACTGTTGATTGAATTTTGGTGCCTAACTAGTGGATAAGGTCAATGAGACATTTGCCTTTAGTGGGTTTACAAAGAGAAAGAGTTTGAGTTATCTCCACCCTAAAAATAATAAAACAGATCAATACTAGGAGCTTGTAGCTTAATCTCCTCAAAGGCATCAGAAATTATAGACAAGAACTTTTTTATAATTTTTGTGAACATTATAACTTTAAAGTTTACTTTATTTCTTACTATTATGTGGAATCCTGGAATCAACTAATATCACCCATGTTTCTTATCTGTAGACAATAAACAAAATTCAGTGGCCGTTCTGTTCTTCTTTCTATATCTTATATAATTACTCTTATGCTTTCCATCCAAAATCACCTCAGCATGCATTTTGAAACTCCCTTTCTATTGCAAATAATTTCCTTATAAAAGCTTGTAACAGAAAATATCTCTCTGTTCTTTCCTAATTGAGTACTAGAAATCCCCTAAACCCTCTTTGGTGGAGAATACTTGTTCACCATGTCATTTGGAATTCCCAGGTCAGGAGTTTTATTGAGGAGAAGGAAAGAGTCAGCATTACTTTTGTTACTTTGTGTCACTTCCAAACCTTTGACCTCCATCTTCTTATGTACAAGGCCACAATGTTTTTGAAGCTCATTCCATCTAGACTAGTTTATTCTATTAATGTCTATTCGAATTATTTTCCATAATAATTGAAGTCATAGACATCTGTCTTACTGTTTTTTTTTCTTGAATTCTGTTACCCTAATTGTTATAACTCATTAACATTAATCACCAAGTATATCTGACTTACCACTTTCTTTTTGACGTGTTAGGATCACATGTGAGACTCCTCTGTTTTGACAAAAGCATTGTGAGCAGAAATGTTCTATGTTACTTTCTAGCCAGATAGTTTAATTGCTGGTTTGAGATGCTCCAGAGTACTTTTTTCCTCTGGCATGACAAGAAGTAATACTTGTTGATAGTGTTTACTGCTTCAGCCAAGATCCCTAAATAGGTAAGAAAAATAGAATGCTTAAGCAGACTAGTGAGGGGCTAGCAGCATGAGTGAAATATACACATTTGTTTTAACCCACTGAGATATGGATGTGTTGATAATGTAGCATGAATTAGCCTACTCTGCCACTGAGTAACTTATATGTTGTAATAAAATTGAATTAACATATGTGTTATTGGCTAATGGGTGGGCTGCTTGTGGTTGGAAACTGTTATCATAAAGTGAAAGTATGACAATCCTTATTACACAGTGGCAAAATAGTTAAATTCTCACCACTATAAGACAAAATATATTTTATGAACTTAACAGAACTAGAAAAGAGATCGAAGAACAAAATTCTAGCAGTGTGTTTTGGCTATAGTTGACAAATTGCTATAAAAAAGGGATGAGCTCAGAAAATATTTGCATGATTGAAAGCAGAAGGAAGAATAAAAATAATCCAGAAATTCAGAGACTTGTAGGATTGAAAGATGTAGCTGTTTCTTATCACCAACTTATAAAATACAAAACTAAGAAGGCCTTTAAGTGTAAGGGCTGATTAGAATACATCCTTGCTGTAAGATTCAAATGAATGTTATGGCTGCCACAACAGCTGGTAAGACATGTGAAAGAATTTAGGTACCATCCGGCACACTTCTCCCTTAGACAAAATGGCCAAGTGAAAAGAAATTAGAAGTATAATTTCTTAGGTAACAGAGGCAGATTATGTCAAGAAAGAGACATAGAAGAAAGGCATGTTTATCAATGGACTGTGAGTATGAGTATCAGCACCTCAAAAAGAATAGCTCTGAGAAATTTGTACTACTAAAAAAAACCATGGTCCTGGATATGTGCTCTCCAAGGTGGTAGCCACCAGCCACATGGAGCTATTGAGTGTGACGTGGCTAATGTGATGAAAGAAATTAAATTTTTAAATTTTATTTTGATTAATTTAAATTAAAATCCTGAAGCATGTTAAATTTTTTTGTTAAACACAATTTTATTTTTTGGAAAACCTGTTTCCACTGAAAATGTAGCATCATAATTGAGATATCTGTACATGTAAAATATACCCTGCACTTTCAGACTTATTAAAAAAAAAAAGTAAAATATCTCATTCATGATCATTTTATATTGACTGTAAAATATAACATTTTACACATTTGGGTTAAATAACGTAGATTAGGAAAATGAATTTTACCTGCTTATTTTTTAAAAATTTTTAATGGAATATTTTTAAATGGCTTAAGTGGTCTGCATTATGTTTTAGCAGATTGTACTGACTGGACTGAAAAACAGTTGTGACAATTTGGGACTTTAAATCATCCTCGCACTCCTATACTTGAGCAGGCTTGAAACAAGCTGAGACAACCAGATGCCCAACCTCCAGGAAGCCATATTATCTACTTTACCTGTTTAAATATGGCAAAGTAAAAGAATGGGGGGAAAAAAAAGTCTTCTCCAGAGAGCAGCTTGAGAGCCATGAAAGCAATGGACCATGGAGCTCCTCTCAAGAGGGGATAATCCTCATCCCCAAGGAGTGGGCACTCATAATTTCTGCCTAGGAGACAAATACAGAACATTTGTTGGTTGCTGTGTCTTCCATTACTCTCCTCTCTCAGTGTGTATTACTGATATTCCCTCCCTGCTCTCTCCCCATATATCAGATGGATGCAGTCAGAATACTTATTTTGGTGTACAGAGCAAAATAAGCTATATTCAGACTCAAGTTAGAGACTGCTGAGCATAACCCCTGAGACAGAAACAATCATACATCATAAAACAATCCTGGGCTTTGAGCTAGATGCCCTGACCAGAGAGAGCCGGCTTCTCTCACTTGGAAAGTATCTCCTTATTTTCTAACTACAGGAAAGAAAGTTAGCTGAATATGTGGGGCACTGTAGTAGCCATTAAAGCTGTTCACCAAATATTTCCAGCTTTCTTTTTTCTTTGAAGAATTGTGCTATTGGATCTCTTATGTGGGGTGGGACCGTTTGAAAACCTGTGATTTATAAACTGAAGAGATTTGTATCACTTCTGGGCTGAAACAATCCTCTCTTATCCAGTAACCAACAATTATGTTGTTGACTCCTGCTTCGTTAGCCTGTGTACCTGAGTGGACATATGAATGAATGGAGCTTCTCTGCTGAACCATAATAGACACAAACCATGGGCAAGAAATAAGCTTCGTTATTTTATGTCACTGAGATACAGGGGCTGTTGGTGACCTTGGTTTATCCTAGGCTATCCTGACAGACATACTTGACATCTAATTAGAAATCCATTCAACAAACTGGTCTTCATTCAGAAAACCATTCTCATGACTCTACACTGCTCCGTTTTATAAACCGTATTTGTTTTACTTCTGAAATCTTAAAATTCATCTATACTTTCACTAACCATTTTTTATTTATTTTTGTAGAATCCCATGCTAAAAGTACATTTGTCCTTTGATTGTGATGAGATATTTATTCTTTTAACACATCCGTTTCTCAGATTCATAGCTTTGGTCTGTCACCTAAACATAGGAGTTTAGGACTTCCTAAGCATAGGAATTTTGGCCTTTGTAAAACTCTATTTATATTGTTCACATTTGTCTGTCTTTTTTTTCCCTGAATGACAAATTGAACTTTACTTGAGCCCTGTCATTCTGGAAATCAGTGACATTCAAAAAACTCTCCCCACCTATTTGTATTCCAGAAATGGCTTAAAGCAAGGAACTAGCCTTCTCCATGTTACTTAAGTAAAACTCAAGGATGATCCCATTGTTTACCTATGAGATAGCCAAACACAGAACCCCCTGACTCCCCACCGCAAATTACCATTCTTTGCCTCATAAATGATTAATTGTACTATTTGGGCACACTGAACGATCTGGACAAAATACCTGCTACCTTGACTCAACCAAATTTAATTAAGCTTTTCTCCTTCCTCCAGCTTCCTGAACTTTGACACCCCTCAGCCCTTAGCCTGAGCTCATATTCAATTCCTCCTTAATAGCCCCTCCAGAGAATGGGCTGACTTCAAGAAAACACATTCCCTGATCAACTGTCTAATCATAGGACCCTTCCATTCCACTTCCCCTAACCCACTTCCTCTAACCTTGTTCACTCCTCCCTATTTAAAAAACAAAACAAAACAACAACGAAAAAACCTTTTTGCCTTACCTTTGACATCCTTTCAGATCTCTTGGCCCTTGCATTGTTCCTATTACAACTATACTTCCCTGCTTTGTGAAATAATCTCTTTGAATAAAGTCTTTCCTTATTTATGTTGAGATTTGTTTTTCAATTAACAATTTTATTATTGCTATTATTATTTATTATTATTATGTAATTTAACAATTTTATTACATTTTTTGACAAACAGAATTTCCACATTCTCCATTGTGTTGTTTCATGTTTCAAGGTAATTTAATCATTATTACTAAAAATAGAATAAAGAAAATTTTAATGAAAAATTTAAATTCTTACACTTTGTATGCTATATCCCTACAGAGATTACCTGATATTAACCCTGTCACCTCGGCAGCTGCATTATTTTGGGTAGTGTGTTTTGTAATTCTATGATCCAGCTTTATTTTTCTTACCTTTCCTCGTTTTCACACAGTCTTATAATCACACTTTTGTGTAGAATTTCTATGTTTATTTCCTCTGCTAGAAATATCACCCACGTGCTTGTGATTCCCCCTCTTTTTTTTTTCTAATTAAGCTCTCAGTTTGGAAGTCAGTTTATTTGGGAAAGCTTCCTCAAACCCCTCATCCTGTTTGCAGTCCCCTCCTATGTGCCGCTTCCTTCCCAAATGCTTCTACCCTCATTGGTCCTGCTTCATTACCAAATGACTCTCCCATCAAGCCATCGTAATCCTGAATTGTAAATATCCCTTTTAATTTCTAGGTAAAATAATCATTTCTTTCAGGAAGGGAAAAAAAACACTAAAAGAATGCTGACAATAGTGCAATTTGCAAAGCTTGGGTTATTCAATCTGGATTGCTATCATATAAAAAATATGGTAAAAATGTCCAGAATGGTTTGACATTATCAGTCTGGTCAACTCCACTGTGCCCGTATAATACAAGTTTAAGATAAGCCCTGTTTCCTATGGATCTATTCCTAATCTCCTGGAGACAATACAATTGCTTCCAATAACAATTTACACAGGCAGCAAAGTACAAATCTATATAAAGGAGAAAAAGCTCCTGAAGGCAATCACAGTTGAAAGATGTTACCTATTATCAGGCACACAATAAAGAAATCCTTTTATATTATCGTGCACAGCAGTTAGCACCCTATTGAACATACCTAAATGGGATCTTGATTTTAACTTTGAACAGAGAAGACCCATTGAAATATTTGATTCAAACAAAGGGTCTCTTAACTCTAAAGGTGAATCCAAGCAATACAGAAAAATTTCAGTGCTTTTCTACCAACTTCTCTCTTTTTAAAATGAATTTTTTTCCTTCTATCAAACTTCTAGATGTTGACAGGCTTCAAATCTTGGTCCTAGGCTATTTTCACCTTTCTATCTGTTCTAGCTCCTAATGTGATCTAGTTCAATACCATGCTTTCATAATATTCAGACTCTTAAGTTAAAAAAGTACCTGACATCTTCATTTAAGTGTCTAATACAAGGCTAAATATGAAAATGTCAAAGTAAAAATTGAAAATTAGGATCTTCAACTTCTTTTCTACCAGTCATTTGCATAAAGATAAATAGCACCAAATGGACCAGTTGCACAAGCCAAAATCTTTCAGAAGCAGATCTAAAAATTTGGATTCGAAGCTTTTAAGTCTAGGGATTGGGCTCCTCAAGAAATATAAAATTATGAATACACATTTTAGTTTAAAATGGTATTTGCAATGAGAAAGTAATCACAATAAATTATAAATTTAAAGAAGTTGACAAACACCACACGCATTCCAAAATGCCAGATGCCATTAGTGCAAGATATATAAGATACAGAAGACATATTCTAATATTTTTGGCTCTGCAGAAAAGATGACTTTGTAGTCAGTCATAAACAGTCTTTATAGTACTGAGAGATTAAAAATACAAATGAACAATAGCCAGACTATACATATAAAATAGAACTCTAATCTATAATTTGTAGCAACTTGACCAGGAAGACAAACTACTGTCTACTGTAACCAGTCCAGGGAGTCAGACCCACTATCTCTAGCAGCAGTTCAAGAACAAAACAAGAACCCCAAATGGCTAGGATCTGATTAATAACTGAGAGATAATTTTTGCCCATTTTTCCAATTTAGAACCAACCAAGGAAACCCAAGCATGCACCCCTAACCATTCATGTAGAATGAATGTCCTGCTTCTATTTATCCTGCCTACAGCTTCTCCATGCAGACAGACCACAGTCGAGGCATCACTAAGGCCTTTCCTTTTCTTCCCACTCTTTTGTTTGCTTAAAATCTTCCCTCTTTTCTGTCTGTCTTTGAGCCTGACAAACACAATTGATAATGGCTTATTCCCTTGCTGTAGTAAGGTCTCAATAAAAGCCCATGCTTGTTCTGGGGGCTGGGTTTATTTCCATAGTATCACTACCAGTTTTTTCCATAAAACAAAAACTAAAACTAGGATTTCTAAATAATTTAATTTCATGTGATCCTAGTTAAAGAAAAAGGAAAATAATGTACACTGAATCTTAAATCCCGTCATTGCAATTCCAAGTTTATTCCTGGCAGGTTTGGCTATTCGTCATTAAGAACTATATCCTCTGATTTTACATCTTCATATTTTTTTGATGATTGAAATAATTTTCCACTGACTGCCTTCTGACACTGTTCATCTCAAAATCTGCTTCTCCCTTACAAGTTCAAGTCTCTAAGTACCTTCGTGGCAAAATGGCAGATGGAATATTCCTAGAAATATTTTCTAACTGAGGACAGCCAGTGGTAAATATGCATGTAAGTGACGTTAGACTATGTCCAAACTAAATACATCTCCTACTCAATTTTGCCCAGGCTGCAGGCTGGATTCCTTCTAAACATACACACACAAGTCTGGTGATTTCAATGGTGCCAAAAATAAGAGGAGATCTGGTGGAGGGAAAAAAAATACAGAGTGGAAAGTAACAGTGGATTTAACCAATTACTGGTAAAATATTTTATTTTTTTAATTTTTACATAAACTTATAGACATGAGCTAGAATTCTTCCCAAAACCTTGGAACATGCATAATAAGGGACGAGCCTAGAGGCCAAACTCTATTACTTTTAGAGTCAATATATCTCTGACCAACAGTCATCTTAAATTTTGCTTTTCTTTCCTACACCCATCAAGCCCTTCTGTTAAAGAGGATCCATGTACATATAAAAAAATGAAAAGTAAAGATTAATGTACCTATGGGCAGAAAACTGGAGATATTCTGCTGGGAATATTATAAAAAGCAAAACGTGAGGCAGCACAGTACCCTGGAATGGACTGGGAAATAGAAGCGAGAGATTACTGCAGAAGATTTTGCCCCTGAGCTCTGAAGGTTAGTATAATTACCTTCTAGGTTCAAATGTTAAGTTTTCTCTTTGTGGTGCTCTTCCAGCCTTTTATCACTGAGTGTTAAATAAAGTTTTGTAATAAATATGTAACCTGGGCTTTGGAGAACTAAGGAATGGCTTTCTATCCTCCCTTGAGACAGGTCTGTGCAAGACATTGTGGTTTTTCTTGACTCGCTTGTATGAAGCATTAAGGTCACTGTCTTCACCTCTCCATGAAGTAGTTAGAGCCAATGCAAGAGCTGATCTGTTGTGTTGAGACCGAAAAGAACACAGGAGACAGAAAAGAACCAGAAACAGACAGGGGAGACACAGGCAGGGAGAACAAACCAAGAGAGGTGAGATAATCTCTTCGCTTATGTAATACTCTGCAGAGTTTTCAGGGGAAAGATGAATCAAAAACCGAGAAAACATGCCTATTCATAAATATATAAATAGTTAAGCTTATTATTAACAAAATAAATCCAAGAGCATGTATGCAGGTAGCTCACATGTGACTCCAAAGCTATAGCTGATTTTCAGTATTTTAATCTAGAATTAAGTCTAGTATTACTATATACTCTCAGTAAACCATCAACAGCTATTCGATTCGCATCAGTAGGTGTGTTAACCTTACTTTGCTGTTCGTTTTTATATAATTCTTTATCAGTACCTCCTGTGGTTGCCCCTGACAGTGCATCCACTTGACAGTAGATATGAGTAGTCACATTCTTTAATATTTCTTATGAAAGGGTAGGTTAAGATCAGTTTCTTACAAGTTACTTACTGTATTCTAAGACAGTGACCAGTAGCACTTAGAGACTTATTTAAAATGCAAACTTGAGGATCCCTCCTTAGACCTATCCAATTAGAATCCAGCAATGGCAGATTTACTAGGTCTTCGGGTGACACTCTTATGCTCAATAGTGTGAGAGCTTCTTGTGGACTATAACTATTTAGCCAGAGGCATTCAACTAATACTGCTATTACTGCATCATTTTCAATTAATGTTACACTGCAGCTGACACGATTTTTCCAACATGACTATTAAATCATACCACTAAACTAAGGACTCTTAGCATAAAGAACCCTCTATAATCATCAGAGCTGGTACACTCCATTGCTATTATTGCAATAATGCATGGAAACACAAATAGGTTTTGGAAATAAAAAGTTAAATTATCCTTTTTTTGTCATCAATTGGAAAACCCTTATATTTAATAGAAGAGTTTGCATATTATAACTTGGTTTAAATTTGATATTAGAATACAGATATATTTTTATGATAACAACACATGCATACTTTAAATTTTTTCAAAACAAGAACATTCTACTCTTGGACCCCGAATAGACTTGAATATCAAGTTTTGTGGCCTTATGAGCCTAGGGTAAAAATAAGACCAAGTCCAGAGTATACCTAAGAGTAATGGAGAAACCTCCGATCATGTAGCAGAGAGCACATAGGATACTTTATGGAAAAGAGAAAAAAGCACTTTCTGAGAAGTCTTATTGTGCCTCTTATACAAGTTTGCAGCCTTAATTTATATTATCATTACACATGTGAAGAGTTTACTGTAAAGTAGTTACAGAAAACAGTTCTTCCAAATTTCTTAAAAAACTATTATCCCAGGTCTCAAAAATTTAAATAGAAACAATATTAAGAAAAATGAATAGAAAAACATTTTTTAAAAATCACTAAGTAAGAAACAAAAGTACAACAGGCAAGAATCAGCAGGAACATAGGAAGCAGAATTATAACTCAAAATAACTAAAATATATTAATTATTAAAGTATCAAACTCCATTGTATATCAAGAAATAAAAGAATATAATAATATATATAATTTAAAAGCAAACAAATTTACAAAAAATAAGTACCATTTCTAAAAATTAAAAATATAAAAATAAAACAATTAGTATTTAATTTCAAGTTAGACACAATCAAAAAGAAGAGAGGAACTTAGATGATAGAACTAAAAAATAATAGAATGTAGCAGAGAGAGGCAAGAAGTTGGAAAACATAGAATCTATAACAGACAAAATACAGTTTGAGGAAAGGAAAACTATTCGCCCCTGGCAGAATCTCATATTGGCTGAAAAATCTGAGATACAGAAAGAAATGAAGACCAAAGAAGGTTACAAATACAAAGCTAAATATCTCAAACACTCATTTTATAAAATAATAAAAATGTTTCATGAAATGTAGTAAAAGTCAGATGTTAGGTTAACTAGCTAGTTTATGGTAATTGTTTCATGATGTATACATATATCAAACCATCACATTGTACAGTACATGTATTACTTTAATTTGTCAATTATACCTAAATATAGCAGAAAGAAAATTTAAATATTTGAAAAGAATAGCATCTAATTTTTAAAAGATCTTGTTTTTTGTTAAAATATTCTTAGATCCTTGCATTGAAAGACAACACATAAATTCACCATGATTTTACGGAGATAAAAAGACAAGTATGAATACTAATATTTTCAGGACCAAAAATTGGTAAATAAGATTTTTAAATAATGTAATAGAAAACATAACAAGTGGAGCAAATAGGAAATACAGGATAGCATTTTATGGTTAAATCCAAATCTGTGTCATTATGATAGACATAAATGGGATGTTACGGTTAAAAACAGAATTTTTCAATGGATAAAATCAAAACAAGCAAACAGAAATAGCTTTATACTATTAAGAAACACATGTAGAATTTGAGGTTTCTGAAAGTGTGAAAGGAAAATTACAGAAAAAATATGCCATACAAATATTAACCCTAGAAAGGTTAAGGCAACATAATTCCTATAGGTGAGAATTAGTATATAAGAAAAAGGCAAAAGCTTTTACTAACATAAAGCTAAGACAATTCCAATCTTGTATGAACTAATAATACAGATTGACATGTATAAAGGAAAATTAACAAATACAGGCATATTTAGACAAAACCACAATTCTTGTGAAAAATTCAAGCATACTGTTAAGGTTATTGGTAAAGCAGATTTAAAAAATCAATAAGGATATACATAATTTAAGTAACAGAAATAACAAGCTTGACCTAACCTACACATGTAACTTGCACACTGAACAGCTGCAGAAGACACTGTTTTCATAAACAGAGCATTCTGAAATATTGACAATATACTGGATCAAAGGAGACAAAATTATAGCTACAAAGGAAGAATAAGTTCTAGTGTTGTATGCCACTGTAGGATAACTATAGTTAAAAACGTATTTTTATAGTGTCAAATAGCTTTAGAAGGAGGATATTGAATATTCATCCCCAACATAAAAAAGATAAATATTTGAGAAGATGGGTATGCTAATTACTCTGATCTAATCACTAAATATTATATGTCTTAAAACATTGCTACATAACCCATGAATGTATGCAATTAGTATTTGTCCATTTTAATAAATTAAGTTAAATTAAATTTTAAGAAACAAGCAACCTCAATCAATGTCAAGGGATTGAAATCGTAAAGATGTTATTTTCAACTACAATATGATTAAGTATAATATCAGTCCCACTCACACCCCTGCCCCCAATGAATACACACAATGTTTAGAGATTAGGATCCATCTTGAGAAATTCATTTAAACATGCCCCTTTCTCATTTCGATTTAAAATATATGCACAAGTCAAATAGAAATAAAAATACAGAATCTGTGTTACTTATTTCTATCATACTTGCTCTTATTTTCTTTGTCTTCATAATATATTTTCCATTTAAACTACCTTGCTCACTCAAAGCCATGTATTTATTATACAAACTTGTCTCATTTTACCTTTAAATTAATTTTAATTAATTAAAATATTGCTTTATTATTCAATTTTAAAAATTGAAGCTTTGCCAACTAAACACAAACTATTTTATTTTTGAAGAGATTTCTATAAAAGTATTTTCAGGACATACAATCAGCAGTTTTCCGAGTTGAAAATGTCACAGTCTTTTTATACTTTATTTCCCTTTTTGTAAAAACAAAATTTTTCTTGAACGTACTTTTTTTAAAGTAACATTATTTCTTTTTTTTTTTCCCTCTTAAGCTTCAGCCATATGCCATTAATTCTCATTGAAGCTAGGTTTTAGCCAGGATCATATTAAATTATTGATTTTAGATGTTATCTTATTATCTTGCCAGATGGCGTGAGAGAGGGAAATCTCATCTTGGGATCTTAAGAAATGAAATAACCTATTTTCCAGAAATAGAAGGTTGTTGCATGAGGATGCTCTTTATAGATGCTTAATTTCCAGTGATGTGAAAGCATGAGAAACAAAATGCAGTTTAACCATACTGAAAATAAAATGTTATAAACATATCCCTGTGAAAAGTTACATGATGTGGTTTAAGTGATATCATTGCAACTCATTATAGCATTGGGAGCTTAAAAACACAGGTAATATTATTGTACCACGGGAAAAACAAAATCAACTAAACTACCAGTTTAAAATGGCATTTGGGCTGGGCTGAGTGGTTTGTGCCTATAATCCCAGCACTATGAGAGGCTGAGGCAGGCAGATCACTTAAGGTCAGGAGTTCGAGACCAGCCTGGCCAACAAGATGAAACCCCGTCTCTACTAAAAATACAAAAAAAAAAAAAAAAAAAAAAAGTCAAGTGTGGTGGTGCATGCCTATAGTCCCAGCTACTTGGACACAAGAATTGCTTGAACCTGGGAGGCAGAGGTAGCAGTAAGCTGAGATCCCACCACTGCACTCCAGCCTGGGCGACCAAGCAAGACTGTCTCAAAAAAATAAGTAAATAAAATAAAATAAAATGGCATTTGGCTTGCAGCTCCTTCTGTGATATATATTTATTAAGCTTTTCCCTAAGTATACCAAAACAGACACTAATATGACCCAGACTAAGATTGGCGATATGTCAGAATTTTCAAAGAATTTTCATTTACTATAAGGAAGGAGTTGGCCACACACATAAAACAGAAACAAACTAATCTGTTGGCAGAAGAAGGATTAAAAAAGAGCATTTCTGTTTTGTGTATTTGCAATCACAGATTAATGTACAAGGAGTAACACTAACTGAAAATTAAACTTCTGTTAAGGGAGTACACAGCTACTTATCTCCATTGTTCCAGTATTTTAAGATCCTGAATGGTAAAGGTCAGGAAGAAGGAATCACACATAATGGGTTCTCAAGTTCTTTGAATATTTTGTCCCAAAGTAAAATGATAAGGGCTGTTAGCAAAATATGTTTGGGATCATCTTTATTATTAGTTCAAATTATCAGAGAACAAGGATATACACTCTGTAAAGTAGAAACACTCTAATAGTTTGTAGTCACCAACGAAGTGCCTATCAGGTGCCAGACCACCAACTCATTGAATTAACATTCACTTCTCACAACAAATTTAGGAGTTTGATAATACTGTTATCATCAATTTATAGATGGGGAAGCTCACTTAGAGGTGAGCAAGTTGCCCATATTCTCACAACTCATATTAATTCTTGTTGAATACTGATAATTAAAGGTTTGTGTGTACATGAAAATGTTCTCACACAGTAGCTTTGATGTAGAAATAGAGCCAGCATTTAAGTAGATGAAGCCTAGCACCACAATGAAACCGAATAGGCTAGCTGTTGGCAAAAATGAGTCTGTATAGAAAAATAAATGTGTACAAAGGGAAAGAAAACTTTAATTCAAAATATTCCAAAATTCTGTATCCTTCTGCAAATGTATAAAACAGAATAATTCAACTTTCTTTGCAGAATTATAAATAATAAGAAAGGCCAAGGGCTGTCGCTCACACCTGTAATTCCAGCACTTTGGGAGGCCAAGGCAGGTGGATCACCTGAGGTCAGGAGTTCGAGACTAGCCTGGCCAGCATGGAGAAACCCTGCCTCTACTAAAAATACAAAAATAAGCCAGGTGTGGTGGTACGTGCCTGTAATCCCAGCTACTTGGGGAGGCTAAGACAGGAGAATTGCTTGAACCTGGGAGGCAGAGGTTGCAGTGAGCCAAGATTGTGCCACTGCACTCCAGCCTGGGCAACAAGAGCAAAACTCCTTCTCAAAAATAAATAAACAAATAAATAAAAAGAAATCTAACATGACTGATTCCATCTTGCTTCTAACCTCACAGGTTAAGCTAAATTGTTTTTTGTTTGTTTGTTTGGTTGGTTGGTTTTTGTTTTGCCCATTCTAGTCTGGAAGCCAAGATAACTATGAGGGAAATTTAGTTTATAGGTAGACTTTGAGGCAAGGTAAGCTGCCCTCCCTACCCGGCCTAGTTTGGAGATTGAAGCTGCATTCATGTGACAAGGTTAGAATTACACTAAGGGCTTGAACTTTGCTAAAGAATAAGCACAATCAAACATGAGCTGCCATTGCTTAGTGTGTTTTCCTATAAGTCAGTTGCTGCCACACAGTTACATAACCTGAGGTTGCAAGATATATAACTTCCCCAACTACTCCTGTAGATAACATCACTATTGTGAAGCCTAAAGAATTGATCTTTGAGATACTTTTCAGATTGAGCATTTCAATAGACGAAGAGATGTCACTTAGTCCTAAGAACCACCTTCCTCCTGGAAACTGACTAAGCTGCAGGAAGACAGTTTTTGACGCCCCTGTGATTTCATCTCCAGCCAATCAATTGTTCCAGTTCCCCAGCCCCGTGCCCACCAAAGTGCCCTTAAAAATTCCTAGCTTCTGAATTCTTGGTGAGACAAATTTGAGAAATTTCTCCTGTTCTCTTTTCTTAGCCAGCCCTGTGTTTATTAAGCTCATTCTTTACCACCACACCTGCTGTTCTCCTTGGTTTTGTGGGGAACAGCAGGCAGGAAGAACCCACTGGGCTATGAAAACAACACTTAAAAAATTGGCAGCACCCATTTTTTGGTTCAAGAAGGCAGCTTCTTCAAAACAACACAAAAAGTTATGTTAAAAAAATCAAAAGCCTTAATAAACAGACACATAGTTTTACTAAAAATGCTCTAAATTAGTAACAATTGAAAATGTATTATTGTATTAAATTATGAATTTTAAGATAATTTCCAATCTGCCATTGCAATAATAGCATTTTTAATTTTTGCTACAGTTTAATATTATTCATAATACTGATATTTTGGTACGTTTCTCTCTGACATATTAAATACCACACATTTTATTTAAAATAAATCATGTTAATTGTTTCTAAGTTGATAAATGTTGATACTCTATTTTTAATAATTATTTCAAAAGATTATTATTGAACAATAAAATATTTAAAATTCTAAAAATATCAAAAGAAGAGTGGATATGGATGGCTCACCTTTAATTTTGTTTAATTCTGTATTAAAAATACTTATAGAATGCATTTATCACTTTTTAAATTAAAAAGTAGAAAAGGTCAACAAATGGACCAGAAAGATTAATTGAACTTGGAAGGTAGAGTATTTTTTTTTTCTTAATCTTGGCAATCTCAGGTTTAATGGTTATTTGGAAGCAAAGCTCAGACTGCAGTGGGTGGAGGAGTGATGGAGTGATAGGCAGTTGAGGAGTGAGAGCTGACTAGTGGAGGGATCCCTCAGAAAGATATGTTAGATGTGAAGAAGGGGAGAATCCAGGTAGCTCGATATAAATTTCCTAATAGATGAGATATTGGGCTTCTATAATTTGATCTATTTATTCTTATAGATTGTGAACATGAAGAAAAATAACTTCATTTTAGAAACACGGTTTCCAAAGATAAGGAGCCTGTATGTATTTATGGGTGTGTATGTATTTGTGTATTTGTCACAAAGAGCATTTTTCTCAGAAGGAAGAAACTTTTCCTTTTGCTATGTCTAAGAAATGTGCTATTGTGGAAAAATAAGAATCAATGTGTTTTACTTAATATTTGTCACTCTATTTCCATATATCGGATGTTTGGAGAAAAAAAAAACTTTTTCTCTACCAACTTAGCTTCAGCCATTGGAAGCTCATGAAATAACTGACAAAAGATAAACAGAAGAAAAGATAAAGTTTATTCATATATGGGAGGGTGCAGAAAGAAGTGGCTCCTAATAGAATTAGAATTAGGGGTTTATATATGGTTTTAAAAAGAAAGGTTAGGAATTGAACAGAGAGCAGGAAATTAACAAGAAACAAGTGGAGAAAATAAGTGGACATTACAGAAGGTTTTGTTTATATGATTTCTTATCCAGGTCAGAGTGGTCTATTTCCTTCCTGGCTGTGAACCTCCCAGAGGGGGAATTTATGGTGGCTGTATTTTCTGGAAGCTTTGTTTAAATGAACAAAAGAAGTTCAGATAAGGGTTTCTCTCCACCTCTCCAGTTCATGTTGGTTCACATATTTTCAGTTTAAAATAATACCATATCTTTCAGCAAACCACTATGGCACATGTAGGCCTATGTAACAAACCTGCACATTCTGCACATGTATCCCAGATCTTATAGTAAAATAAAAACACCATATCTATGGGTCCAAATGAATCCCATCACTAAGATGCTCAATTGTTTTTATATTTCAAATTTGTGCCTTTTTAATTTTTTGGCTTATGCAATATAATAAATATAAAATCATTCGTTTATAAAAAATAAGTATTTAATGGTTTCTTATTTTATTTATAATAAACTCCATTCTCTTTTCTATCTATTTTAGCAGAATACAACCAATATTTAATGGCCTTTATTTCTACTTCTACCCTTTTCAAACTGTATGTTCTAGTTACAAAAAGCAATTAGCAGTAACATGCCATTCATGTATTAACCTGTTATTTTAAATTATACTTTCTGTTACTATTCATCTTCCTCTCAAATCCTTCTCAAGGAAAAGCTTATATGTGACAATCTGCAAGAAAAAAAAACTACTGTTTTCAATGGTTATTTGATTAAAATATTTTTCAGCTGTGTTCAAATTAAGGCTTGGCTTATATTTGCATTCATGTTTGTGGTTATAAGAAAGGCTATATAATCGGTGTACAAATATTAAAATCCTGGTTCCAGTTTAATAGTGTAAATTTTGGTAAGTAATTTTTCTTTTTTTTTTTTTTTTGAGACAGAGTCTAGCTCTGTCACCCAGGCTTGAGTGCAGTGGCCCAATCGTGGCTCACTGCAGCTGTCACCTCCCTGCTTCAAGCAATTCTCCCTGCCTCAACCTCCCAAGTAGCTAGGATTACAGGCACCCGCCACTATTACACCTGGCTAATTTTTGTATTTTTAGTAGAGACGGGGTTTCGCCATGTTGGCCAGGCTGGTCTCAAGCTCCTGACCTCAAGTGATCCACCCACCTCAGCCTCCCAAAGTGCTGGGATTACAGCCATGAACCACTGCACCGGCCAGTTTTGATAAGTAATTTTAACTATAGTTGCTATGATTTCCTCATCTGTAAAATGATTCACAGAGTTGTTATGAGTATTAAATAAAATAATTGATATAAAACTTTTTAAATAGTGCTTGGCAATGGTAAACATTTAATAAAAATTAGACATTTTAATTATATAATTTAAATTGTTAGCTCTTAAGGACTAACTAAATACCTCATTTTAGTTTCTTTTTATTAATCATCTAGCATATAAAGCCATATAAAGTAACCAGAATTTTTATGTTAATCATAATCTAATAAACAGTTTATTGATACAAGAAATTTGCCAAATTGCTAACTTTGAAGAAGTATTGTAATTAGTGCACGTTTTTGAAAATCATAAGAATGTATACACTTATATGTTCAAATTTTTATACATTTAGTATTAACAGTTTATAATTCTATGACTTTTTTAAAAGTTTTCTCAAAATTACTATAGAAATAATAAAAAAATCAATACCCCAAAGTTTTAAAGTATGAACATGCTATAGTTGAAAGTGAAGAAATACATTCAAATGCAATTACATTTAGATTCTGCTTATTAACATAACCCCATGAGTTACAGCAGCACTGTAAGAAATGTGTGATAATGTTGATTGAGGGAAATCTTAAAGGTACGTTTTTCCTGTGGATAAAGTGTAAATTTTCAAATCAAATTTATACTTTAAAAATATTCTCAACCATACAAATATAGTTAAACAATCTTTAAAAAAAGAAACAAAGGGCCGGGCACAGTGGCTTACGCCTGTAATCCCAGCACTTTGGGAGGCTAAGGCAGGCAGATCGCCTGAGGTCAGGAGTTCGAGAACAACCTGGCCAACATGGTGAAACACCGTCTCTACAAAAACACAAAAATTAGCTGGGGGTGGTGGTGAGTGCCTGTAATCCCAGCTACTCAGGAGGCTGAAGCAGGAGAATCATTTAAACCTGGAAGACAGAGGTTGCAGTGAGCCAAGATCACACCATTGCACTCCAGCCTGGATGACAGAGACTCTGTCTCAAAAAAGAAAAAAAAAAGAAGAAAAATAAAACAAAGGCAATACAATGAATACAATGGAGCAAATGGTGCTGGAAAACCTGGACCTCCACATGAAAAAAAGAAATGAATGTAGACACAGACCTTAAACCCTTCACAAAAATTAATTCAAAATGGATCATAGACCTAAATATAAAATGCAAAACTGCAAAACTCCTAAAAGATAGCCTAGGAGAAAACTTACGTGACTTTGGGTATGGTGATGACTTTTTAGATACAAAACTAAGTTTTATGAAAGTAATACTTAAACTGGAGTTTCTTAAAATTCAAAACTGAGGCTTGTGAAACACAATGTCAATAAAATAAAAAGACAAGCCACAGATTAGGAGAAAGTATTTGCAAAAAACATATTTGATAAAAGATTGCTAACCAAAATATATAAAAAGCTCTTAAAACTCAACATAAGAAAACGAGCAACCTCATTATAAAATGGGCCAAAGATCCTAACAGATACATCACCAAAGATATGCAGATGCTAAATAATGACAAATGTCATCCCATATGTCATCAGATAAATGTAAATTAAAATAATAATAAGTACACTCATACTAAAATGACCAAAATTCAGAACATTGACAAATTAAATGCTGGTGAGAATGTGGCATAGCAAGAAGTCTCATTCATTGCTGGTGGGAACGGAAAATTGCACAACTACTTTCAAAGACAGGCATTTTCTTATAAAGCTAAACTTACTCTTAATACATGCTCTAGCAGTCATCTTTCTTGATATTTATCCAAAGGAGATGAAAACTTACATCCACACAAAAAAATTGCACATGGGTGTTTATAGCAGCTTTATTTACAATTGCCAAAACTTTGAAGCAAAGATGTCCTTCAGTAGGTGAATGGAAACATAAACTGGGCTACATCCATTTAATGAGACATTATTTAGCTCTAAAAAGAAATAAGCTATCAAACCATTGAAAAGATATAAAAGAAACTCAAACGCATATTACTAAATGAAAGAAATCAGTCTGAAAGACAACATACTATGGATTCCAATTATACAACACTCTGAGAAAATGCAAAACTATGGAGATAGTAAAAAGATTAGTTTTCCAGGGAATGATGTGCTGAGGAGGGATAAATAAGTGGAGCACAGAGGATTTGTCAGGGAAGTAAAGTATTTTATAAAATAATATAATGGTGGCAAAATATCATTATACATTTGTAAACAACTCCAGAGATTATATAACACCAAGAGTAAAACATAATGTAACCAATGAACTTTGATTCATGATCTGTCATTATAGGCTCATCAGTTGTAACAAATGTACTCTGGTGAAGGATGTCTATAGTGGGAGAAGTTGTGCAACTGTGGGAACAGGAAGTGTAAGGAAAGTCTCTGTACCTTCCTCTTAATTTTGCTATTTTGCTGTTAACCTAAAACTGCTGTAAAAAATAAATTCTTAGAAGAAAATAGTTTTATACTAAATATATAGCTATATAGGTGTCTGTCTAAAACAATTTGAAAATAAATATTTTTCTAGTATTCAAAGATTGAAATATGTGCTTTATTATAGAAAATTGAGAAATTAATTAAAAATTATTCTACTTCTTTGTTTTTCCTAGAACTTTTTGTAGTTTCCATATATATTTTAAAACAATAAAATAGGCCAGGTGCAACAGTCATGCCTATAGTCCTAGCACTTTGGGAGGCAGAGAAAGGTGGATTGCATGAGCTCAGGAGTTCAAGACTAGTCTGGGCAACACGGCAAAACCCTGTCTCTACAAAAAAAAAAAAAAGTATATTAGCTGTGTGTGATAGCACGTGCCTGTAGTCCCAGCTACTTGGGGGGCTGAGGTGGGAGGATCACTTGAACCTGGGAAGTTGAGGCTGCAGTGAGCCAAGATCACACCACTGAACTCCAGCTTGGGTGACAAATTGAGATCCTGTCTCAAAAAGACTAAATAATAATAATAATAAAATAACATTTTTATAAGATATGTGAATATCCAAAAAATTTTTCCCCAAACTAGTTCAAGAAATATCTTATTATGTAGAGTTGCATAGGTAGGTGCTGAACATAATAATGAAATATACTCAAATAACATATATTAATTATTTCCTAATAATTTTATATTAGATGAGGTTTGAGCTTAAAGTTTGTTTTTCTTTTAATTTTTGGTAGCATCAAGAGTATCAGAATATTTGGATATAGAAACAACATTGAAAAAATTCAAAAAGTGGTAAATTATAGTTGAAATTTCCCTTTTGGTTCTGAAAGAATTAATGACTTAGTACTGTTAAAACAAAAGCTTTGGGAAAATTAAAGTTAACAGATAGTAATTGAGAGAAAAAAAAAGATTCACAAATTGGGCGGCTCTCAGAACTGGAACAGATTCAGAGAGACTCTGGAGATACTGCATGGTCAAAGAAGATTTATAAGCAGAGACAGGAAAGTGATATACAGAAAATTGAAGTGACGTACACAGACAGCCAGGTTGGTTGGAGCTGAGCATTTTTCTTATTTGAACACAATTTGAACAGTTGGTCACCTATGAGTGGCTGAACTATGGCTTGTGTGATTGGCTGTGACTCACCTATTCTTATAGAAGCATTTTCCTAAGTTAGGTTTTCAATTTGCTTACCTACTAGGTAAGGTTGCAGTTCATAAGCAAGAACTTAAGTATGCAAGTATGGATGTTTTCTCAGGCCTAATTTTAGTTTGACTTAACAATTCCCCTCTTTTGGTCAGCCTCTTAATTTTGAGAGATTCATCAAAACTTTAGACATTTACACTACTCTCTGTCACCATCTTAAATGACTTATTTGGTATCAGCATGGAGTTCAGAAGTCTGTGGTCTTAGTACAGAACTTAAAAGTCATGACTTCACACCACTTGAAGAATTCCTTATGTTTTTACTGACCTATTTGAAATGAGACAATTCAACACTTAACACTTAAAGCTCAACAGGATACTTACACCAGGGAAACTATGATTGACTATGATGGCTATCAAGAAGATATCAAATGACCAAAATATACTCCATAACAACAGTTCTTATGAAACAAACCAAATGAAATCAAAGAAGTCAACATTCAGGCAATATAGACAATTAAACATCATTTGAGCCTAATTGGTCATAGTCCTTGTTCAGGGTGTAATGGCAGTTAAGGACTATAGTTTAGTGTAAAATTACCTGACCTAAAGAGGTGTTCATTTTTGTAGTTAGCCTCATAACACAAATTATAAAAACCTGGAGAAATATAAAAATTAGGAAATCCTTGGAAAACCCAAGATTGCTATTCACCATTTAGGATACCTGAAAAATAAGTGGCAAGGTTCTCCTATAAACACATCATGTGTTCCTTTCTCTTGAGAGATTTCCTCAATGTCTTTGGGGGCAGTGTCTAAGAAAATAGCAGCATCAGCCATCTTTTCAATTAAGATTTTTGCAGTAAGAAAATTGTGGGAAATAAATGTACAGTATCCAGTTTTGTTCAATACAAAACACAAGCCCCCAACTTAAGCAAAAATGAGATCTAAAGTTGCATGATGGTCCATCAAGAGTTTTTGTTGAATGTGTATGTTATTATACACCTTTTGAAGAGACGCTTCTACTTGTCTGAAGACCTGGTAGGTCTGATTGGTTACAAAATCCAAGATTTTTCCCCAATTTACAGATTAACTTTAAACCCCATACAATCAGTATCCCATTACCACCAAGAGTGGGTCTCCAGAAACTCCACTAGAAACTTTCCTCAGTGGAAATAGCTTATCTATGTCTACTTCAAATTTGGTGTTAATTTTGGTTATTAACTGTTTTGGCCTTTGATCATAGATGCTATTACGAAAAATTTCAAGGAAAGCTATTTAAAAGCAGCAATAAGCAAGACCAAATAGAAATATCTGCACCAGCAAGGAGACAGAACAAAATAAGCACATTCTCTGTAAACCTAATATAGGCCTTTAGGGGTTAAAAAAAAGGTCCATCTAGTTGCATTTGAGCAGGGGTCAGTTAAATTTGTTCATCCATAAATTTTTATAGCTCTTGAAGAAGGTCCTTGGGAAATTTACTTTTTTGTGTCCCCCTTAAAGCAAGCTGTAAGAGTATATAACCACATTTGTTAAAAAAAAAAAGAATGAATTTAATACAGTGACATTGTACAAGAAATTTGTGCTCCCATAGGTCATCCCCAGGTCTTGAGTTTATGATGCCTAAAAACACATATGCCTTTTGTAGGATTCATTCAGAAAGGTTTTTCTATTTTGATGACAATTAGGCTGTTAATTGGAAAAGTTAGAGTATTCAAGTGAGTGACAGGAAGCAAGTAGCAGTGATATTTAGAATATAAAGTATAACATTCCACTCTTCCTTTGGAGATTCAGAGTGACTCTCATTGGGAATGTGAATAGGCCCTGATATCAATAAAATTGTTTTCTAATTTTCGGGCATTAGCCCAGACAACAATTACTATGGTTTATGCTAAGAAATAAACTTGAGCAAAAGCCATCCACTTAACATGGTCCCATGGAATGTACTTTAGTGTAAAAGAAAGCATTAGGACAGCAGGAAATGAGGACAAAAGGGGAAAAAAAAGGCATAGGCTTTTTTTTTTTTTTTTTTTGGTGGCAGAGAAGTCTTCATTTGTGATTTTGGGAAAGCTGACCACATCTAGGATACTGTATGCTTCTGGGGAGAAATTTCTCTGGTCAGCTTTACCTTAAAGTCTCCAATAGGTATAAAGTTCTAAGACTCTTTAAAGATTATTTTTAACTATGAGATATGAGCTCAAGGTTTGAAGCCCTGAAGCTTTACTGCAGTGTGAGTGGTGAGAAAAGTTTGGTATGGTCCCTTCCAACAGGGTCCAAGGGCAATCTTTCTCTCACATCATTTTCAGAAGACCCAATCTCCAGATTCTATATCATGAACAGTTTTCTTATCATCATTTGGTGGATCACAAAAAGCTTCCTTTACCTGGTAAAAGTATATTTTGGTACAACAATTTAGTGTCTTGTAGTATTTAGTCATATCAGTTTAGGAGAACAGGGGATGCATGAGTTTCTTTTATTAGGGTAATAGGTCTTCCCATGACTTTCTTGAATTCTTGAGTGTGTAAGGTCTTAAGTGCCAACTGATTGCCATTAAAACCAGCAGCAGAACCTTTGGCCAAGGCAACCCAATTGATTCAGTGAACTTTGCCAGTTTCAGTTTTAAGATGCCATTTTTTTTCCTTTCAACCCTTTCAGAAGACTGAAGGTTATAGGGACAATGGTAGCACCATTGCATCCATAACACCTTATTTAACTGCTGTATAATTTTACTAGTAAAATGAGTTTTCTTATCACTGAGCATTTCTCCAGGAATGACAAATGATGGAAATATATTTTCTAATCATTTCTTAACTACTGTCACAGCATTGACTTTCTTGCATGGGAAAGTGTCTACCTAACCAGAAAACATACAGACTATTACAAGAACACACTGATATCCCATTGAGCGTGGCAACTGAATGAAGTCCATCTGTAAATGTAATATCACACGAATGACAAATGGTCCATCAGGTGGCAGAAATACACCACTTAAAGTTTTTATTCTTTCCTAGGATTATGAGTTTGATAAACCATACATCGATTATGAACTCTTAGAAATTTTGGAACAGTCACCCCATTAGTAGTTTTTTATAATTTGCATTATTTTCTGTTTCATGATGAGTTTGGAGTACAAAGCTTTTGACAATGGAAGCTTAAAAAACTCAGGGAGGACCAGGACACCATTTGAGACTTTGAGTCCACACTTAATTTACACTCTTTTAGATAATGTTGCTTTTCTAAATCAGGTGCATTGTACTGTTTATTAAATAGGTCATCATAAGGGTGTTGACTTGAACAAATGTTATGGAGTTCATTTAGGTTGTATATCCTAACCATTTCTGCAGTAGCTGATTTAGCAGAAAAATCTACTAAAGCATTCCCTTAATAGCCAGGTTTAGTTCTACAGGTATGACAGTCAATCTTAATAATGCCAATCTGTGATGGTAACAGGATTGCACAGAGAAGTTCATCAGCTTGGAGTCCAATTTTGATGAGGGACGCACTGGAAATGAGAATTCTTTGTTTCCATAGCATGCCAGAGTTATGTACTCCTGCAAAATCATATCTACTATCAGTATAAAATATTTTATTTGTCCTTTGCTGCATAACAAGCTCAGGTGAGAGCAAAAAGGTCCATGGGTTGAGCTGACTTATATTGAGGAAGAGTTCCCTTTTCTATTAACTCATTTTAGGTGGTAAAAGCGTACCCTGCCTGACATTTTCCTTTTGAGATTTTAGCACAGGACCCATCAAGAAAATGTAGTGACTCAGGATTACCCAATAGAATATCTTGTAAGTCAACCTGAGGGGTCACTATTTCTGACATTACATTTACACAATTGTGGTTTTCACTATCATTAGGCAGAGGTAATAGAATAGTAGTTAAGTAGATTGCAGTATTTTAGATAGAGATTAGAAGAAGACAGGAGAAACATTTTGTAAGATCTTGCTGAAAAAATGCTGAGTTTCATTGGAATTTAATAGACTTTCCACAGCATGTGGGACTTGCAAATCAAGTTCATTTCCTAAAACCTGCTCAGATGAAGATTCTACCAACTTTGCTGCTGCTACTGCTTTTAAATTATTGGGATTATGCCTCAGCTACACGGTCTAGCTGAAGTCTAAAATATGTAATGGCCCTGTTTTTCTCCATATTCTTGCATAAGAACTCCTAATGCCTGATTGTTACATTCATAAATGAATAAAATAAAAGGTTTAGTATAATTTGCTAGTCTTAAAGCTAGGGGCTATTGTAAGACCAATTACGTTTGGTTAAAAACCTGCTCATGACTGTCTTCTTAAGGTAATGGCTCTGGTACAGCATTTCTAGTGGGTTCATACAATGATGAGGTCATTTAGGACAATTTTGGAACCTATGATCTGTAATATCCAGTAAGTCCAAGAGAACCTCTTGTTTTTTGGTTGCAGGCTGAGAAATGCTTTAAACAGTTTTTATTCTCTTAGGCGAAAGTGAAATACCTTCAGCAGTCAAGTCATGTCTCAATTAGTGGACCTTCTTCTTGAAAACTGAAGTTTTTCTATTGAAGCTTTGTGACCCTTATGTGTGAGTTGCTGTAAAAGGCAAATGGAGTCAATTTCTGAGTCTTCTTTAGTGGGGGAGCATAACAACAGGTGATCTACATACTGAATAAGAATAGAATTTCAAGAAAACAGTGGGGCTATTAAGTACTGATGCAATGCCTGAGAAAAATGCAAAGTGGCTTCAGTACACCCCTGTGGCACTACAGTCCAGGTGTGCTGCTGATTTTTCCAAGTAAAAGCAAACAAGCATTGACTCTGTTTATGAACTGGAATGCTAAGAAGACTTAGCAGAGGTTATTACCATGAACCACTTCGAATCAGTGGATCCATTAGGTAATAATATATTAGGATTTGGACTACAGGAAACTTTGGTATTACAATTTTATTAATTGTAATTGCCTGTCCATCTTAAAGGAATCTCCAACGTCGACCATTTGGTTTTTCAACTGGTAGGATTGAAGTGTTACAAGGATTGCTTCGTGGAATTTTAAGTCCTTATTTAATTAAATCTTCTACATTTGGTGACAGCCTTTGAATTGCTTTAGATTTCGTAAATATTAGGTTAACTTAGACAAATGTTTAGAATAATCTATTATGAATTGTATAGGTTCCACACTATTAATTATTTCTGTATCAGTTGAGGAAGAAGCCCATAAACATTCAGGTACTTTAGAAGGGTCAGGGGTATTACAGGCTGAGTTTTGGCGATGCCCATTTCTGCCTGTAGAGAGCATAACAGTTCCGGTTCAGGAAAATCAGAAAACTCTAAGATTATTTTTCCTTCTGAGGAGAATTTTATATGCCCTTTCAGGCTTGAAAGTCAGTCTTACACTAGCAAGTTTACTAGAGCAGTATAACATAATAAAAAGAGGTGTTTTCTTGGAAATGGCCCCAAAGTCAATTAGACTGGCTGAGATATAGGAAACTCTTGAATTTAATTCAAAACTCTCACCACAGAAATGACCTTTTTACTCTAAGGGATTTGTTGGTTTATTAAAGTGGAGTTCATGGTAAACAAAGTGGCTTGGTATCTAATATGATTGTGCAGGATACCTCATTTATTTTAATCTTTGTTTTGTTATGTTTAGTTAAGGATACTCTGTGGACCAATTTACTGACAAAACCCTCCAATCCTCATCAATGTTCACGACTATCATGAGAGCTTAAATATCTTGGGCTTCCTCTAGTGGTGACACCATCTGGCCTAAAGGGAGGCTTATTGGTGGACTTATATAAAAATGGACAATCTGTTTTTCTGTGTTGTGGTTGTTTGCAATAAAGGAAGACATCTCAGGGTAAAAAATTTCTTATTCTAGGACCTCTTGGTTGTGATTTAAAATAAGGATGAGAAGGTCCCTTTGGTCTTGGCCCCTTAACTCTTGTAATTGGAGAGACATAAGCTGGTTAGACTTTTGGGTTTTTGTTTTTTGTTTTTTGTTTTTACACTCTAGAGTCCTTTCAAATGTTCAGCTAAGGTCAGCAATTCAGTCATATCTGGAACTTCCCATCCAAGTTTATGTTTTTTTAATTGAACTGCTAAGTTCACGACAGAGTCATAAATAGAGCAGTTAATGCCATTTCAGTCCCTTCAGGAAATACTCCTTGCTATTCTTGGAGCCCAGAATGTTTTGAAGTGATTCTAAGCAAGTTTTATAATATAAAATTGGCTTATCTTTTGTTTTGTTTTGGTTTTGGTTTACATGACTGTATAATGGACCAATCAATTCTTTGTGGAAAAATTTTGGAATTGAATCTAAAAGGTTTTCAGCAATTTTTCTAGCTCATTTTGACACTTTTCATGAGGTTTTGGAGGAACCTTTAATAACCTCCTTGGGTTTGACCTATACCTCTGCTGCCATCCAGTTTCAAGCTTTCCCAAGCCCCTAAATCATGTGAGTAAATTGGTAAAGGTCATGGAGTCCAGGATCATAAGCTCTTATGAAGATTTTAAATCCTACCATAAGGTTTTGAGGCTTTCCTTTGGATCAGGGAAATACTTTACAATGGTTCTAAGCTCAGTTTAGATCATGGAGTAAAAGAGGCTGTGTCAGGAAGAACTGGCTGATCAGAAGGTCTTACTGTGTAAGGCATTTGTCTAATTTTTCTTTGTTCATAATCTTCAGAATGGAAGGATAATTTAGAAGAATGGTTAGTAGACTTGGAGTACATAGGTAGAGACAGAAAAAGAGAAGGAACAGTCAGTGCTCAGTCAGAGCTCAGTCAGAGTACTGTCCTCCATCATGTCTTTAGTCTGTTGCTTAAGCTTTTCATTTGCTTTTTGCAAAGAATCTTCTAAGGAGGCACTTTTTTATTCATTCAGTCTTTGAGATGCCTCTGCATATTAATTTAAGAATACATTCTATTGTTTTTGCTAGGGTTTTTATCTCCATTTTTTTTTTACATTTATCTCAAATAAACAATTTCATCTGAATTAACACATCACGATTTGTGGCCATCTTAATTCTACGTTGTCTCGAGTAAAGTTAACCCATTTTTCTAAACATGCACATGTTCTGGGCCTGTATATGTTTTTTGTTTGTCTGTTTGTTTGTTTCGAGAAGAGTCTTGCTCTGTCACCCAGGCTGGAGTGCAGTGGGGCGATCTCAGCTCACTTCAGCCTCCACCTCCTGGGTTCAAGCAGTTCTCCTGTTTCAGCCTCCCAAGTCGCTGAGACTACAGGCATGTGCCATCATGCCCAGCTAACTTCTGCACTTTTAGTAGGGACAGGGTTTCACCTTATTGATCAGGCTGGTCTCGAACTCCTGATCGCAGGTGATCCACCCACTTCAGCCTCCCAAAATGCTGGGATTACATGCGTGAGCCACCACTCCTGGACTGTTTTATATATTATTAGCTAGAGTCCCAGAAGTTGGCATCCCACTTTCTCAATGGATTAAGACAAACCCATTATCAAAATGGTACCATATCAGACAGGGTGGTACATGACTGGAGTCCCAGCTTCTTGGGAGGCTTGAGACAAGAGAGTTTCTGGACCCCAGGAGTTTGAGGCAGTAGTACAATATAATTACACTTATGACTAGTCATTGCACTTCAGTCTGGGCAACAGAGCAAGATCCCATACCCAAAAAAGAGTATTTATCCAAGGTCTGAGCCCTCTAACTTAATTCAATGAAGTTCATTACAGCATCCAGTGTGATCCTGGACCTAGTCTAGTATAAATATTGCTAAAATAAACTCAGAGAGCTGAGAACAGAAGAGTAAAGCTCTGAATCTGAGAGAAAATTCACCCAAGACCTCCAGTTACAAGCAAGAGAGGCATAAGCACACTGTCGCCATGGGTATCTTGCCTGGCTGCCTGGTGATCTGGGGATCACTGGAGTTTTACTTCTGATCCTTACTTCAGACACCAGATCTGTTAAAGTAAAACTTTAGACAGATGAAACTCAACAGAGTTTGAGAAAAAAAGATGAACAAATCAGGCAGCCCTCAGACTCAGAACAGATTTAGAGAGACTCTAGGGGTGCTGCATGGACAGACATTTATGAACCGAAAAAAGAAAGTGATGTACAAAAAGTGGAAGTGAGGTGCAGAGACAGCTGGATATGTTACAGCTAAGCATTTCCTTATTCGAACATGGTTTGAACAGCTGGTTGCCTTTGAGTGGTTGAAGTGTGGCTGCTGTGATTGGCTGAGGCTCAACTATTGCTGCAAAAGCATACTCCTAAGTTAGAATTTTTGTTTGTTAACCTGCTAAGTAAGATTGTAGTTCATAAGTAAGAACTCGAGTATGAGAGTACAAAGTCTTTCTCAGGCCAGATTATAGTATGATTTAACATTACTAATGAAAAAACTACAAATCCACACAGAACCTATATAATGTCTTTCTGACCAATTTTTAATATATAGAAGAAGGAATGATATTAAGATGTGCAGAAAAGTTATGGAAGTGTTTGGAAAATGCTTAAAAAATTGGGGCTGTCATTCTTACATTAAATTCTAGAAGATAATTAATTGTTTTGTTTGTTTTACTATTTACAAATCTAGGAAATAATAGCTAAATTATTTCTTGCTACTTTTTTCTAAAATGTACTCACGTTTAGCCTGTAGAGATAAGGAGTGGATTATAATAATAGAATGTAATTGTAACCTTATGTCATTTGTACTTTAACAACAGCTTTCGATTTTTATTTTTTCCAGGAAAAGTTGCTCTTTGAGGAGATTTGAAAGGACTTTTTAAAAATTCTATTAAAATAATATTGAAAATGGAACTTTTAACAAGACAAAATAAAACTTCATTAACAAATGAAATCTTAGATTGAGCACATACAGCTGGATAGCTTAGCAGCTTCCAAATAATAAATCATGTCAAAATATAAAAAACATTTCATTTTACAAAATGAAAGATTATATGTTAGATTTCATGCTTCATATATATGGACTGAATTTCTATATTCAATCATCTCAAATAAATTGTGCTTTTAGAACATATCTTAAAGCAGATAAGCTAAAATGGGGGTTATTTTTACTCTCAAAAAATAGCACAAAGCTTACAGTATTTTAGAAATCTTTTGGTTAATTTTCTTAAAAATTAAATAAAATATAATGACTAGATACCGAAAAGCTCTCCAGAGGTGGATATACCCATTTGCTAAAGATTTCCTTGAAAGTGATTAATGCTTAGACAAAAAACACGACAGAATTTTTCAAAGTCATAAAAGTTTTGATCATTGAGTATCCCAGTGATAGTAATTATCACCAGACACAAAGGCATGCAGAAGTGCAACCATTTATGAAAGTTTTTATTAATATTTATATTCATAAATTGAGGTGATTTAGAAGTATCCTGAAGTTTTTGAAAGTATACAAGATAGTTATTTATTTGTGTATTTGTTTTTATTTTATGTATATAAATTTTCTTCACCATTATGCAATAAATCCATGTAACAAAATTATGCAAGCATCATATAATTTCCACTTTTTTTACTTTCCCACACTTCCACCTTTTTCATTTAATAGTGTGGTTATTTTCAAGCATTTAAGATATTGATATTATTGAAGAAGTTTGGAATATAATGCTCTCAGTAAAAAAATCTGTTCAAATAAACAGCAAGAGTCAGGTTTTTCATTCCAAGGTAGGGAAAAAAAATAAGTTACAGTTAAAGGCATATGTTGTAGAATAATTTCCATTAGTTTCTAGAAGAGGGAAGATGTAGAATAAAAATACACAGCTGTTACATTTATTTAAGATGATTACTATGCCTTTTTCTTTTTTTTTTTTTTCTTTGAGACAGGGGTCTCCTTCAGTTGTTCAGGCGGAGCAGTTCATTTAAACCTCCGCCTACAGGGCCCAAACCATCCTCCCACCTCAGCCTCCTGAGTAGCTGGGACCACAGGCATGCACCACCATGCCTGGTTAATTTTTGTATTTTTTGTAGAGATGGACGTTTCTCCATGTTTCCTAGGCTGGTCTTGAACTTGTGAGCTCAAGCTATCCTCTGGCCTTGGCCTCCCAAATTCTGATCAGGTCGTGGCCACTAGTTTTGTTTATCAGTGATCACCTCATTACTAAACCCAACAAGCATTTCTCAATTTCCATCTTGCTTAACATCTCAACACTCTATTTCTTAGAGATACTTCTTTCTCCTATTACATAACCATGAAGACCACCATGATGGATTTCAGGTGTGAGCCTGATCTATACCTTTTTTAAAAAGACTCAGAGATGAAAAAAAAAAAATTAGGAAATATAAAACTAAATAATTAAAAAGTAAACTCAAACAATGAAATTATTTGTCTGAAGGAAGCGGAACATATGCTTTTAAGGCATTTGAATGCAATAAAAAGCAAAACAACACAAAACAAAGAAAATCTTGTGCTAGAAACATGCTTAAGATTCTCTGAAAACTAAGAGAAAAGAAAATATGATCTTCAAATTAATTTAAAAATAATATCCTGCAAATACTTGCAGAGATAATTTTTTTCTTAACATAACATCAGTGAGGAATATATCACCTAACCTTACATAAAAGACCTTGACAACTATTGTTAACAAAGTATCTTAGAAATGATGGTTAGTGAAAATGTACTGTACCATTTAATTCTAACCCAGCAACTATGAAAACATTGAGGCAAGTTTGGCCTTTTTAATCATGAAAAAATTTTGCACTCTATTACAGACTGTGATCTGAGTTAATTGTGTGACCCTGAAGCCAATATTTGCCCTTTCTGAGACTTTTTGTTTCTTCCTGTTTAAAAAGAATTGTGGAAATCAGGATTAGCGTAAAGAAATAGTTAACTAAATTATCCTCTAGATCATAACCCTCCCATAGTTTTTCTACACAGATGCAAAATATGAATTAATCTCACATACTATATACCACTGTACTTTCAAAGAGTCTTCAAATAGTTATGCCCAGTTGACAAGGAAACTGCTGCTTTGACTCCACCACTCAAAAATAAGATGTCAGTAGCAGTAACTGTAAGTCCCGTTCCAGCTATTCAAACTAAAAAGGAGTTCATGGAACTGAACATGGTTGCTCAGGCCTATAGTCCCAGCTGCTCAGGAGGCTGAGATGAGAGAATCACTTGAAGCCAGGAGTTTGACACCACCCTGGACAACACAGTGAGACCTCCATCTCTAAAAAATATGAAAAATTAGCTGAGCATGTAGTCCTAACTACTCAAAAGGCTGAGGCAGGAGAATTGCTTGAGCCGGAGAGTTTGAAGCTGCAGTGAGCTATGATCACACAACTGCACTCCAGGTTGGACAACAGAGTGATATTCCATCTCAAAAAAAAAAAAAAGTCATTTCTTTGTTTTCTCTTGTTCTTCCGTTTCTGATCAGGTCATGGCTGCTAGTTTTGTTTATCAGTGATCACCACATTACTAAACCCAACGGGCATTTCTCAATTCTCATCTTAACTTAATATCTCAACACTCCATTTCTTAAAGCTACTTCTTTCTCCTTCCATTACATAACCATGAAGATCACCATGATGGATTCTTGGAATTCTTACACGCAAAATATTTTTAAATAATGTTTAGAAATATTTATGCAGGATACCGGGGTAATTCTTCTTCTCAGTTTGCCACAAACAATACGTTGACTCAGCCTTGTATCTTTGAAGTCTGATTTTCCAGCCTGTGAGAGTAGTTTTTTCTTCACACAAAACTCATGTCTGCTGTTTACATGTCTGTACTACATCAATTAGGAAGAGAAATATAACAGCTAAGGAAAAACTTCACTCAAACCCCCTTAATCTTTAGTTTTTCCTTTCTCAGAATATGAGATTTATTAGAAATTACTTTTAACTAGAATGCTGGGTTTTAATCTAAATAGAGAAAGATATTCGCCAAGACGATTAAGCATCTACATCCAGCAATCACCTTATTCTTTCCTGTTCTATTAGCTATCCTCTTCTGGGAACACTATATATACAATGAGGTTTCTCTCTGACGGAGGCAATCAATCAATCAATCAATCAATAAAACATAAATAACAGTTATACTAAAAAATACACGTTACCGTTTGATTTAACAAATAGCATAGAATTTGTGTTGACAGCTTAGTGTCAATCTTTCTTGAACTTTTTATTAGCTCCGCTACTTTGCCAGTTCTCTTAAATTGCCAGAGGAGCAATTTAATTACGTGTAGAATAAGGATAAGAATACCCAGCCTGGGCGGGGTGCAGTGGCTCACACCTGTAATCCCAGCACTTTGGGAGGCTGAGGCCAGGAGTTGAAGACCAGCCTGGCCAACATAGTGAAACCCCATCTCTGCCAAAAATACAAAAAAATAGCCAGGCGTGGTGGTGCGCACCTGTCATTCCAGCTACTCAGGAGGCTGAGGGAGGAGAATTGCTTGAACTGGGGTGGTGGAGGTTGCAGTGAGCTGAGATCGTGCCATTGCATTCCATTCTGGGTGACAAGAGTGAAACTCCCTCAAAAAAAACTGGAATACCCAGCCTGAACATCTCAAAAGATTATTCGGAGGATTGCCTGTAACAATGTATGGAAAGCACTATACAACCCAAAAATAATATAGAATTATAACTTTTTTTTTTCAAAAGAGAAAGGAATTAGTTTTCTAGGGCTGCTATAGCAAAATCATGTACCACAGACTGAGTTAGCTTTAATGACAGAAATTGATTATGTCACAGTCCTGGACAATAGAAGTTCCAGTAGAGCATGGCAGAGTTAATTCTTTCTGAGGACTGTAATGGATAATCTGTTCTATGCCTGTCTCCAAGTTTCTGGTGGTTTGTTGGCAATCTTTGGCATTCCTTGGCTTGTTAAGCACATTTCTGCCTTGGTGTTCATATGGCCTTCTCCCTGTGTAGGTGTCTGTGTCCAAATTTCCCCTTTTTATAAGGAATCAGTCATACTGAATTAGGAGTCTACCCTACTCCAGTATGACCTAATCTGAACATTCTAAATTACTGGGATTAGTAATTCAATCTATAAATTTTGGAGAGGCATAATCTAGCCCAGAATGCTACATTATAAAAAAAGTGATCTTGGGGAGACAGAGAGAGACTCTGTCTAAAAAAAAAAAAGAAAAAGGTCTTACAGCTCACACTTAGTCCTTTAGTCAGTAAATACTTCCTGGCTCTTATTCGCTGGCAATCACAGAGAGATTTTTCTAACTACACTCTTTAGAATATTTTTATTCATAGAAAAAAGAAGAAAATGACTCTCTTAATTCCTCATTTGTTGATTACTGCTTATTTAGGCCATTAAACACCTTCAACTATTTTTTTATTTGAAAAATCATTTCAGTTAAAAAGCTCTCTGTAAATCTATTCATGCAATAAATTTTGAGAGCTATTCCGTCTATGAAAGACTATTACCATGCCTTCTAAAATAAAATTAAAGACAGAGTACAAGCAATTATAAGGGTTTTAATGTTTAAATTCTAAGGAAATGAGGAATAATTAAGGTTTTCAACATTTTACAAAAGGACAGAGAGAAATAAGAAGCATTACTTCTAATTGAAGGTATTTACAGCTAGATCTCCAATACGTTCATTCAACAAAACAATTGCTATAGCTGTATCTTTTTAATTGAATGTCACAAAAAGCCAATAATAAATATTTAGAAAATGCAACCTATTTTAAGCTAGAGTTCAGTCAGTATGCTATGGAATAAACTTTTTTTTTTTCTTAGAGATGCATGTGTTACCATATGAGATCCTAATATCAAATGGATAATTATTTTTAGATTCATTAAACTCCCCAAATATATCTATCAAGTTCAACTTAGATTAGGGAACAGGACTTGTGTGCTATTTAAGCCTCCCAGCAGGGTTTGATTATTCAACACATGTTCTCATAAAATTGAGCACATACTGATATAAAGGTAGTAATAGAGCAAGTAGGTATTACATAGCACAACTCCTCAAGGTAAACAAGGATGGGTAATTTAATTTCCAAGGTGACAAATTATGTTATCATGAGAGAGCAGGCAATTTCTTCCCCAAAATAAACTAAGTAGGCCAGGACAGCTTTAACTAGATGAAATCATTATCCTTTTAAAATACACAAGTGTTGAATAAAGTTAGTTTTCTCTGCTTTAGTGTCTTGGTAGAAAATGGCATAAGAAAACAGTGCTGCCTTAAGGTAATGTTCACCTGTTTAAATTCTTCAGTAAGGGAATAAAAACAGTATTACTTTAAAAAAAAATACAGGTGTGTATACACACATATATTCTCTCTCCTATATTTTTAATAAATTAGAGTGCAATAATAGATTATTTAAAATAAACATTTCTTTATTCCCTTACCTTTCTAAAGGGAAAGCATGTAAAAATATTTATTTATATCTTGGATTTTTATAGCAATTATTAAAATTATTTAAGAGGCTACAGCTTTAATTATCTTCTGACCACCTTCTACAGCACCATGTGTCAGACAGGTTCTAGGCATATTGAGAACATTTCTCTTCTTGTGTTCGTAATGGTACCAACCAAGATATTCCTGATAATGACCTCTCAGGCCTTCCTTAGTATTTTTCTATTTGAATTTATGTTTAAAATTATGGCTAATCCTTAGTAACCCCCATAGCGTTGAATAATCTCTAAAATAGTTTGCATTCTCAATTCCTTAAATTTTGTTAACCTCTTTCATGCTAGTTAAAAGACCTATATGTATCTTGAGTTTCATGGACTATGAAATATAAGAATTTGAAGACTTTAAACTTTATTAAAAGCTAATAAAAATTACTAAGGAAGGGTTGAGAGAGGCAACTGACATGGACCTTGAGCATTTCTTCATGTTTTTGCTGACATACGAAGAATTTGAGACCCTGACCACTCTTTACCCATGGTTGTTTTTGCAAAAACTAAACTTGAGAGATGAGGTAAGCTTACATTATCTGTCACCCTCAGACTAGACAAAGACCAGGCTTGCTTCTGCTTACTGTAAAAGCAAGCTCATATTTCTCCTGTAATAAAATCTACTGCATGGGCATGCATCCTTGATGGACCTTTTGGATCACCTCTTTGGTACTTGGAAAACATGGGGAACCTAACACATATCATTAGGAAGTTCCAGCTACTGTTTTTGCTGTAATTTATAAAGTCCTTTATCTCTAATCCAGGAGTCTTATATTGTCTCCTAATATCCATGAAACTATAGCAAACTAGCTTATTACCTCGTAAGTAGAATAAATTCTCAGATGCTGCTCAGTTCTTAACAGATAGAAATTAGGTTACTTTCTATTTGTTTCTGCATTTGATCGCACATAAGTTCGTCATGTATTTGTAATTCTTGAGGAACTTTTTTTTCTAACTTACTTCCAAGTAATTTTGAAGAGGTGTAGAGACATGAAACAACACTAGCTTCTTGCATACTAGCTTCTTGCAATACTACAAAATAAGTCCATGTACTCTTAGTACTCAACTTGTATTTACTACTGACAATTGGAGGAAAATACAATTATGTGTCCTTAGAGGAAGAGAAAGACAGATTTTTAATCCTCTGTCAAAAGAAACTTGGAATGTTTAAAATGGCCATCATAATGGAAAATATTAAATTCAATAAGTAGTTTGGCTGAGTTACAAATATGGAAATAAGTAAATGGAGCACAATAAAACAAAAATGTTTTGTGGGTATAATGGCTTATAAAATAAATTCAAAAAGCAAATGACATTTTATTCACTTATAAATTCATATAAAGATCCTCACAATTGTTAGCCATTGCGTATTAGAACTGCAGTATTCAATTAAGGAGCCTGGCACAAATCTGAGAACTCTTATAAATATGCTTTATATTTGGACGCTATGGTCTCCTAGTCAAAATGAATCATTTCTTTCAAATTTTGGCCTTTACCCAACTCTACAGGGATTCCTTCAAGGGTGAGTTTAATTCATCTGGGATGTTTTTACTTCAACACTCATTTTACCTAAACCTACTAAATGTTGTATATGAGGAAAGGGCAAGATATATAAAATATATTCATCTCAGAGTCCGTTTAGTTGAAATTTCTCAGGAGAAAAACAAAGCAGAAAAACATCTAGTAATACTGGTCAGGATTTGGTATTTATGTATACGTGAATTGTATATATGTACTTTCCTATACAGGTATACACAAATCTGCAGTTAGATATTACAGCAGATAGATGGCTGCATTTTAAATGGATTTGATCTGTAAACACATATACTAGTTAATAAATAGACTTTACCTGATAAAAATCGTCATTACTCTTTTTAATCAATACATGTTACTAGCTAACATTATCAGGAAACTTCATATCTATAGAGTCTAGGTCTTCCCTCCAGTTTCCCAAATGTCTTTGGCAGAATAATAACTAGAATATTGCAGAAACCAGTTTTATTGAAGTTATGCCATAAGAAATTTATCTTCTCCAGCAGTGAATTAAATGCCATTTTTATATGGAAAACATCTTCAAAATAATTTTGAATAAAGTATTGGAAATACAACAAAATGATGATATAGCTTTGCTAATCAGATTCCTTTTCACTTTTAAAAGTGTTTAACACATCTTTTGATATAATTTGGTAGAAGGAAATCTAATTTGCGCTTAAAATTCAGAGATATGTCATGATAGCAAAGAAAAGATTGAGCATTTTGTTGACAGATTTTCCACATTGGGCTTAAGGTAAAGGGTCTTGGAAGGGCTATCTTTGCCTCCACAAACATCCTCTACTATATGATACTTGGCTAACAAACAAGTTTATAGGATATTATGACAAATGTTTATTATGTCGTAATTTGTGCTATGATCTAGGATATGTCATTCAACATCCAGAAGAAAGTAAAATTACGTTATGAAAAAAAGATCCTGCACTTGCCAGAGACCAAGAAAACATGAGTTTCAATTCCAATTCAACCTAATTCACTGTATGACTTTGGGAAATACACTTCATTTTCAGATCTTTTAAAATACATATAAAATGAACGTGAGATAATTTCTAACACTCTTGCCAACTCTGATGCTTATTGATTTAATTAGAAGACATTGTGAATATATGTGAGACATTGGGAATATAAAGATGAGCTAGACATAAATTTGTAACACTCTATAATTAGTTTGAACATTCTTTATAAAAAATATAAGCAAGTATGAGATAAGGTTATATTTAGAATGAGACTTCAGGAATTCTTGAGCCTTGAGCATTCTCCAGGTAGAAGGAAAATCTAATAAAAAGCTGCATTCCATAGTGCTGTTATCAAAATTAAGACTTTTCTATGCATTATTTAATAAGACAATCAGGTTATTTCAATAGCTGTTTCATTATATTGCTGTTAATAAGATTTAAGTTCAGTCGTTAAACACTTGTATCCTTTTCCTTATCATACTGCTGTATCTCTCTTTATTGTTGCTATTATGTTGGATTTTCAGTTCATTTTTTTCTCTAACTAGAAAAGAATAGTAAACAAGTTTGTATAAAACAATTTATTCCATAGTGTTTCAACACAAAACTCTTTGATCGACAATTTCCTATGTTAAGTTCATGTCCTGGTGTTGATAGGTAAGAAAAATGTGTTATCAAGGGATCATGAGAAGATATGAAACACTGCAAAATTACATTGCTACCTACTATTTTGGGCCAAATCAAGTTCAACAATATCCTAAGTTAGGGCTACATTACTTTGTGCTTTCAGAACTCTGTTACTTGCCTCAAGGTATATTGACTTTGAAGAGCAGGAAGCTGAATAAAGAGTTATTTCTTTTAGTAGTTTGCTTATCTCACAACCCTGTGTGTGTTTGTTATATATATGACAAATTGTTGTTTTGATAATGTTTTGCATAAAGGTGGACAGTAATAGTTTTGTAAAGAAAATATTAGGCTATACTTTTTTTTTAGTTTGCTAAGCAGGAATCTATGACATTGATTGATGTATCATTTTGAAATCTGCAATGGTCTTTAAGGTTTTAGCCTATGAATATGTATGAAAAATCAGTTTTAGTAACTGTGCTGTTAAGGATGGCTTGGAACTATAACTCAATAGCAATTTCCTTAAAAGAAAAAGGAACTTAAATTACAATAGAATAAGTGTTGATGAATGTCTTCTTGAAAAATAGCCTTCTGTATTCAGACTAATTTTCGAATGATGACAAGAAGGAGCGACTAAAGGGGAGCATACTTAGAGATATGTCAACTCCTAGTTGAATTACCAAAGAAGACTTACTGTAACATTTTGTCCACATGTGTCACATTCTCTGAAGAGTTTTAAATATCATAATCAACACAGTACTATTACATTTTTGCTAAAGGAATATAGTAGCCTATTTCTCCTAAGTATATGTATGTGTGTACATACACACTCATGTTTACTTGCATATATATGTTTAAATATGTGTATGCATTCATATATTATAGGTAAACATATGTATGTACATATATAGTGATTGGCCAACAGATTAAGTATTAACATTTTTTAAGTTAGATTTAAAATGAGGTATTTTTTGAGTTTTTAATCCTTTTCTTGCTGACTACCGTAGGAAAAACAATTAAATATATTCTCTTGCCGAATCAAGTTTGTTTTTTTTTTTTACACTTATATGCCTTGCTTTCAAAAGTAATTAAATAAAATGGAGTTCAACTTAGAGAATACACATGCAGGCATCTTCAAATCAGTTGTCTGAATGTGATTATTTTCATCGTTAAAATGAATTAAAAAAATTAAAAATTGGCTATTTGCTTCCATAATGTATTCTTAATGTTGTTGTTGTTTTGTTGATTTTTATTTTGCTTTGGACTAATTAAAAGTCATCTGACACAGACAAAAACACACCTAAACACATAAGCTTCTAGGTGGTAATCTCTGAGATAATGCTTAGTTAAAATTCTTGTCTAAAACCTTTATTTACTAATGCACTATAGAAAGAAAAGAATATCAATTATGTTCATAGAATAACTGATCTTTTTATAGCTTTCTATTTAATATGGTAATAATCTTATTTACTGGAATTAATTCACATAAATTGCAATATATGATAATATAGCAGTAGAATAACTTCTTGTTCACATGCTCAAATAATGATAGAATGAGACAAAAAGGAGTGACCCATCCAAATATAGGAAATCTAGTCTTCTTCTAAGGCATACGAATGATTAAACAGAAAATACTGAAAGAAAGAAAACATATGAACATATATCAGGTTACTCAAGGTGAGGAACACTATTACACAGCCACTGAGTGATACTAGCAGTATTTTTTACCATGACTAGGCTAGCTATACTACATCTATTATTTAGGAAACAACATAAAATGTTAGAGCTACATAATGGAAAACTGTAAATGAGTCAACCTGCTCGACACTCAGACTTTCAGGCACCAGGTTAATGTCACAGAAGCAAACTGGTCAGCATCCAGGGCAAGGAGCCAGATGTAGTAACTGAACTCCATTCTCTGAAAGACAATAGCTCAGAGAGAAAATGGAGAAGTTTCAAGAGGCCAGGAGAATGTGATTTATGGTGGAGTTACAATGTGGCAGTTGAGAACTAGACAAGACTGTGGGACTTCATTTTTTCACCATTTGCAGCAGCTGATGGCAATAAAAATTGCAGAATGCATCATCTGCAAGGTATTTAAAAATACAGTTTCTCTGTAAAAGCAATTCTAATTAGTTACACAATACTGCTATTACGTTTCTTAGGATATGTATCACTTGTATCACATTTTTGCCTCCTAAACTCATATAACCTTTCTTTGGCTTAAATATATTAGTATATGTTGTAATGTACTTACATTTAAAACAAGATTAAATGATTAATTTATGGTTATGTTACAGTCAATCTAATGAGAAATTACAACTGCATTTTCTTATATTTATGACTGAGTTATTCATTTAAAAAAGTTATTGTTGAGTCTTCATAATTATATATCAAGACTATGATCACACTATGATATAACTTTTATTTAATAAGGGATAAAAATGTTAGCTTTATACCATAAAAATTCTTTTAAATATACAAATTAGGGACGGATTTTTAAATTCAAAAGTAATGAAAGTAATTCAGATTATTAAATGATTGTCCTCAGATTATACATTACCTTTTTCTGATGTACTTAAATAAAATTCAACTTATGTACATCTGGAAAAATTGTAAACCTAAGCAGACATATATTCTTTCTTTAGGTGTTTTATTTATTTCCTTCCAATTTCTATTCCCACAGTGTTTTATAGAGCTGAGATGCTCAAGAGTTAGCCACCAGCCACAAGTGACTATTGAATACTTGGGATGGGGCTAGTGTAACAAAGGTAATAAATTTTTAATTCTAATTTATTTTAATTAAAAAACTGAAGTGTTATATACTTTTCTGTTAAATATAAGTTTATTATTTTGGTGGGATTACAGTTCACTTCCACTGTTGACAATGTTCTATCTTACTTGAGATGTATTATAATGTACACAGCTGATTTTGAAGACTTAAGAAAAATGGATTTAATATATCTCACTAATAATTTTTATGTTGATTACAAGTGGAAATAAAAATATTTTGGATATGTTGCAGTAAATAAAATGTTATTAAAATTAATTTCACCTGTTACTTTATAATGTTTTCATTTTTATTGGTAAAACAATAATCCCTAACACTAACTGGTTGAAATGATTTTGTTTTAAAAAAAAGACACATTGGCCGGGCGCGGTGGCTCACGCCTGTAATCCCAGCACTTTGGGAGGCCGAGGCGGGCGGATCACGAGGTCAGGAGATCGAGACCATCCCGGCTAAAACGGTGAAACCCCGTCTCTACTAAAAATACAAAAAATTAGCCGGGCGTAGTGGCGGGCGCCTGTAGTCCCAGCTACTTGGGAGGCTGAGGCAGGAGAATGGCGTGAACCCGGGAGGCGGAGCTTGCAGTGAGCCGAGATCCCGCCACTGCACTCCAGCCTGGGTGACAGAGCGAGACTCCGTCTCAAAAAAAAAAAAAGACACATTGTAATTGCACATATTTATGGAGTACAATGTGATGTTCTAATTCATATGGATTGTATAATGATCAAAGCAATGTAGTTGGCATATATATCTCCTCATACATTTATCATTTTATTTGTGTTGAGAACATTCAAAAGCCTATCTTCTAGCTATCTTTAATATACATTACATTACTGCTAACTGTAGTCAAACTATTGTGCATCAGAACACTAGAATTTATTCCTCCTATCTAATTGTAATGTTGCAGCTGCTGGCCAACTGAAGCAGGATTTTTCTCGGCCACTTTGCCGAACTTGAAGCAGGGGTTCCCCATCTACTCGGCCCGCTGCAGTCAGCCCCTTGCAGGAGGGAGCACATGAGAGGGTGAATGTGGGATCCCGCCAGACGCTCCAGGCGCCCACACATGAGTCAGCTCTGTGCGGCCCACGACCAGACCAGGCGTGTCACATTGAGAGGAACGCAGCAACACCCTGGCAGGGCTGCCTGTGACCCCGAAGTCCCAGAGTAGGTGTTTATGTATTAATAGGCTCTTTCAGTTCCACCTTCCGCAGCTCAGGCATGTTTCCAGATCAGTTGGCCCCAGCCCGGAGGCGTGGGGAGTTATAAAAATGGTCAACAAGGATATAAGTAACTAATTAGCATCATCACTTAACATTAGCTTAACATCAGTAACAATCAGGGAAATGTAAATTAAAATTGCACATTATTAAAAAAATGGTTTTACTCAGAGATTCTGTAAGCAATAGATTTCAACCTAATTAAGAGAAAATAACAATCATTTGGGCTACCAGTCACCACCACACTGGCTGGAAAGTAGCTTGGCCATGTTTAAAATAATAATAATAAGAAGAAGAAGAAAGGGAAACACTATCACTCTGAAAATCTTCTATAAATAGCTACAGAATAATTTAAAGGAGTAATACTAATTTGACTCTGAAAATTTTGTTTTTAGTCAATTAGGAGAATTATAAATTGGTGGCTCTAATTAATTTTTTATCTCAATTAACAGTTTTCTCTTTAGCTATTGACTTTCAGTTACATCTTATCACTGGTATAAATTAGACTTTGCTTCTTAAGACTAAATTTAATTCAAAATTGGACCAGAATAAAGCATAGTATGGATACTTGGGACCGCTAGAAACAAAGTTAAAAAGCATGGACATCTTCCATGGCTTGGCCTGACTCTGAGAAATATGGAGAATACATAATTGAGACTTCTCCTCCAGAAAGTAGAAAGATGTGGAATCTGGCTTCAACATCCCTGCCTGTTCAGAGTGCCATTTGAGGGGATGGTTTCTGTGTCACCTCACATAGCACACTGAGGGGATGATAATAATCAACATCAAAGGGAGGTCCAAACTTTAGACTTTTGGGAAAAACAAAAATCCAAAACAAAAGAAAGACTGGACACATGATGCAGCTAGGAACAAGAATCTAGAATCTCTAGCTAGGCTCATTGGTTAAGACTTATCTCAGTCAAAGTCAGTTTGAAAAATTGGGAAGTGGCTATTATTGCACAGATACCAATGCAAGCTACAAAGAAAAAAAAAAGAATCAGAAAAACATAACACAATCAAAAGAGTGAACTGAAACAATGGAGATCTATAAATTGCCTGACAAAGAATTTAAAATAATCATTTTAAAGAATCTCAGAGAGATACAAGAAACACAGACAATAACAATTACAAATGATAAAAATTATACATGAAATAAAGTAGTAACTCTAAAAAAGTACATAGAAATTCTAGAGCTAAAGAATATAAGAACTGAAATTAATAATTCACTAGAGGGCCTCAACTTCAGACTTGATCAAGCAGAAGGAAGAATTGGCAAACTCAAAGGTACCTCATTTGAAATTATCTTGTCAGAGAAGCAAAAAAAGAAAAAAACAAGGAAAGTGCACAGGAACCTTGAGTGGATTATAGAACACTATCAAATGAACAAACATATACATTATGGGAGTCCCATAAGGAAAAGAGGAAGAGAAAGGAAAAGAAAATGTATTTAAAGAAATAATGGATGAATGCTTTCCAAATCTAAAGAGAGACATGGACATCTAGATTTATAACACTCAGAAGGCCTCAAGTAATATGAATCTACAGATTTATATGAAGTCTACATAAAGACAAATTATAATCAAATAGTTAAAAGTCAAAGAAAAAGAATATGAAAGCAGCAAGATAAAAATAGCTTGTCACATACAAGGGAACCTCCATAAGTCTTCAGTGAATTTATCAACAGAAACATTTCAGGTCAATGGAGAGAGAAATGATATATTCAAAGAGCTGAAAGAAAAAAAAAAAGCTGTAGACTGGAATAGTATACCCAGCAAAACTATTCTTTAGAAACAAAGTAGAAACAAAATTCAATAGCACATTAAAGGATTATTCACCATGATCAAATGAAATTTATCCCTGGGATTCAAGGATGGTTTGACATACACAAATCAATTGATTTGATATAACACCAATATAATGAAGGAAAAAAATCACATAATCATCTCCATAGATGCAGGAAAAGCATTTGGCAAAATCTGACACTCTTATGATAAAAACTCTTAACAAACTAAGTATAGAGAGAATTTACCTTCTTCACAAAATGAAGGGCATATATGAAAAAAGCCTGCAGTAACATTATACTCAAAGGTAAAAAAAAAAGAAAAACACTTTTTTCCTCTAAGATCAGGAACAATGCAAGAATACCTACTCTGGCCATTTATATTAAACATAATACTGTATGTTTTAGTCATAGCTAAACTGGCAAGAAAAGAAATAAAAGCCATCTAAATCAGAAGGCTATATGTTGCTAACCCTAAAGAATTCACATTAAAAGAAATTGCTAGAACTAATAAATTCAATAAAGTTGCAAGAAACTAAATCAACACACAAAAATCAGTTGTATTTCTATACAATAACAATGAACTATCTGAAAAGGATATTAAGAAAAAAATCTTGGCCAGGTGTGGTGGCTCATGCCTGTAATCCCAGCATTTTGGGAGGCCGAGGCAGGAAGATCACCTGAAGTCGGGAGTTTGAGACCAGCCTGACCAACATGGAGAAACCCCGTCTCTACTAAAAATACAAAATTAGCTGGGAGTGGTGGCGCATGCCTGTAATCCCAGCTACTCAGGAAGGTGGAGGCAGGAGAATTGCTTGAACCCGGGAGGCAGAGGTTGCGGTGAGCCAAGATTTCACCACTGCACTCCAGCCTGGGCAATAGGAGCAAAACTCCACCTAAAACAAAACAAAACAAAAAAAACACATACACACACAAAAGAAAAAAAATCTCTTTTACAGTAACATCAAGGATCAAATACTTAGAAATAATCTTAACCAAGGAAGTAAAAAACGTGTACACTGAAAACTATGAATTCTTGATAAAAGAAATTAAATAGACAAATAAAACATCAGTGCCCATAAGTTGGAACACTTGACATTATTAAAATGCCCTTACTCCCCAAAGCAATCGACAAATTCAATGCAATCTCTATCAAAATTCGATTGACATTTGTCTTATCATGGGCTGCTGTAACAAATTGCCATAGTCTAGGCGGATTAAACAACAATATTTATATCTTACAATTCTGGAGGTTAGAAATCTAAGATCAGGGTTAACAATATGACCTGGTTCTGCTGGGGGTACTTTTCTGAGTACCAGTCTCTTGACTTCTTGTTTTATCCTAACATTGTAGAAATAGAGAAAGAACTAGCTATCTGGCTTCTTCTCACAGGGGCACTAATCCTGGTGATGAAGGCTACACCCTCATTCCTAATTATCTCCCAAAAGACCCAACTTTACATACCATTACACATTGGGAATTTGATTTCAACATTTAAATTTTGGGGAGACACAAATGTTCAGTCCCTTGCAGCATTTTTAATAGGTATAGAACAAAAACATTCTGAAGTTCATATGGAACTATGAGAGACCACACATTCAAAGCAAACTTGGAAAAAAAAAAAAACCACTTCTTTCAGTAAATAGTGCTGGGAAAAGTGTATATTCACATGCAAAAGAATAATATTGGATCCTTACTTAAACCATGCACTAAAATAAACTAAAAATGGATTAAAGATTCATAATGTAATATCTGAAATGGTAAAACTCCTGAAAGAAAACATAGCTTAATAAATCACTGCAATGATTTTTTCAATGTAATACCAAAAGCACTGGATAAAAGCTGCCTCTTTTTAACAAAGGCTCTAATTGGCAAATTAATTAGTCATTGGGATTTTTTTTTTGCTCAGAAATATTTTAGGGTATGAGGTCTCAAAGGTATTAACACTTTTCTTTTTTTTATTATTATTATATTTTTTTGGAGACAGAGTCTCACTCTGTCACCCAGGCTGGAGTGCAGTGGTGCAATCTTGGCTCACTGCAACCTCTGCCTGGGGGTTCAAGCGATTCTCCTGCCTCAGTCTCCCAAGTAGCTGGGACTACAGCCACGTGCCACCTCGACCAACTAATTTTTGTATTTTTAGTAGAGACAGGGTTTCACCATATTCATCAGGCTAGTCTTGTACTCCTGAAGTTGTGATCTGCCCTCCTCGGCCTCTCAAAGTGCTGGGATTACAGGTGTGAGCCACCATGCCTGGCTGGAATTAGCACTTTTCTATACGTTGCTCTTTCTAGGTGCAGTAGTATAGTCTAGTATTTATAAACATTCACAATATGGGCATGTATAACATCAACACCAAACATACATTAATCAGTGGAATTCACAACAATATTACATTTAATCAACCCCAAGGGAGACACACCAGGTTGTGATAGTTTCCCTTCCCCACTGTGCATCTTGCCTAAACCCACTTGTTGAGTTCAGGCACTCTTTTACTCCTGTTAGCAGGTAGGGTGGTGACCTGGATATTTATATACAGCAGATGCCCAAATTTAGATTCTCTTTCTCCCCAGTATACCCCAGGGTATTCAGATGTGTGTCTGTGAGCATGGGTTCCCCTTAGGGATTGGAATACTTTGGTGTTATGCCAAAATGTTTTATTCTTAAAATAGCTGAGGTTGGGGAGAGGAGAAATTAGGGATCACAAAACACGGAAAGTAGCAGTAGCTTCATGCCAGTATATACACATGATTAGGCATTTACTTTGGGGTTTGGGTAGCTATCTGCATAGCTCAACCAAACACAATTCTAATGTTTTCAGTCCGTCCAAAACTCAGTCTTCTTATTGCTGACAATATTTTTTTCCAGTTTTGGGGAATTATTGACTCAGCAGCAGCAGCTACATTGCCTTTTGGCTGAGACCACAAGACTTACTGACCCATTGCCACAATAACATCCCTTCCTCCTCTTACATAGAGGAGAGTAAGCCACATTCAAACATCATTTGAACATATTTTTAAAAATCCTCTTGTTGCTCAGCCTACAAACAACTGGTAGTATAGTGGGGTTAACTAATTCTCTTTGGGTTAACTAATTCTCTTTGACATTTCAATTAGAGCCTTTACTACCAGATCCTGGGGAGTCCTTTCATGTGCTCTAACCTGGCTCATCGGGACCTTCATCCATTCTCTTCCAGAAAGCCATGTCTCTGTCAGCATCCCCTTCTTATTAACAAAACTATCAAGAGCCATGAAGGGTTTGAAATTTTGTCCCACTTGCTAGCTAACAAATTCGCCCACTACAGTTTCATAGATACTGATTGATGATACAAGATCATAGAGAAGAACAAACCATGCAGAGGGAACAGCCAGTTCAGGAGTATATCAGATAATTTCAATTAATCATAAAAAGAGTGGTATGGCTGGGATGACATTAGCAAGGGGAGAGTAATAGCATATAAATCTGAAGTTGTTTAGTTAGGAGATATAATTTTTGTGTCATTGGCATATAAATGAAATTGAAAAACATTAAAGTAGATCATGTCATCAAGGATGTATGATACTCACGCCCTGATCACTGGAGTACTCTGGCATTTAGAACTTGGGCAAATAGACTATGATGTAAATGGCACCCACTACAATTGTGCAGATTATATCTGACACAACCATATCTGGTGACCTTCAGAATAACTATAAAAGAAGACAAGAGTAATTATAGGAGTAAAAATAATATCAGAAAGGGATATGCTGTATCATTCAAGAGTCAAGCATAGAAAAGAATATTTAAAAGAGATTAATTTGACACAGCAAGTGGCTATTCAGGTGATAAAATTTGTTAAACGGCCATCCAGGAGATGAGATTAGAATCAGAAAGATGCTAAACCAGCCCTAGCCTTGAATGAGAAAGGGAGAGGGCAACATTCTAGGTAGTTAGAGCTTGGGGTCAGCTGGTGGAATTTGGAATAATGGAGGTCCCATCTATTAGGTGGCTGTTGAGTTTGTAATGTGTCTCTTCATTAATTTTAACTTGCATGCAAACATGGAGTGTTCCTGAGCTGAGGCAGATTATCATTATTCACAAACAAAGCAAACAATGACCACATGTTTCTTCACACCGTAAGTCTTACCCCTAGAGCAGTGTAATGAATCCAAGCCAAATGTCTTCTTCATATAAACTGTGTATCATAGACAAGAAATGTAAAATAATGTGTTTTTTTCCATTTTTATATAGGAGAGAGACAGCTTTCCTCATTCCCTTCTGAAATGAAAGGGGCAAGAAACAACTTTTCTCCCTTGAGACACTATGAAAAATATCCTGAATTCTTACCTTAACCTTTTGGAATATAAATGTATTAATATCTTTCCAAGAGTCAGATAAACTCTGGGTGTCTCTGGCACTTATGACCTAGAGATTTCTCCAACCTCTGGGCTTTATACCATCTGAAATGTAAATACCTCGGGAGAAAATCCTTCAGTATTCTTGGCACCTTAGGGCTTAACCTACGGACCTCATCTGGGCCCCTTTGGCCCTCTGAAATCAGAGCAATTAGCTAGACTAATGGTTATAAATCTAATTCTCATGGTATAACAAGAGTAAAATGTTTCAGAGAGACATGAAAGCAAGTATTACAAGTCTTTATATTCCATTCTTTTCTATGTCTCAGGAATTAAGACTTTCCATAGGAACACTGAAAAATCTAAGTACCTGTTATTTCCTACCTACTTGGAGTCACATAAGTGTTAGAGTCAATGCCAAGTTTAACACCAGAAGGAAAGGGAGATAGGGAATAATATTCTGACTTCTCCTTTGCTCCAACTTCTGGTCTCAAACCAGGGTCTCCAGCTGGCTGAACTAAGCTGAAAGTCAGGTGCCCGGGAAAGACAACCTACAGAGATTTGGATTTTGTGTAACACAGAAGATAACAGGGAAAAAAAAAAAAGAAAAAGAAAAACAAGGAAAGATAATTGGGGAAAATAAGCACAGGAGATTAGCACAAGTGTCATTGGAGCAGATAAAGTAAGTGTTTGAAGGAGGTAAATTGATTATGTCAGCTATTGCTGAAGGGTCAAGCGAGATGTGGACTGAGAGCTGTCATTGGAATAAACAACCCTAACAAGAACTACTTTACTGGAGTCATGATGGGGAAAATGTGGTTCAAGAAAGAATGGGAGAGATTAGTATCAGAGAATATATGCAATTTTCAAGAAACTTTGTCTTTTTTTATTTTTTTGAGTCAGATTCTCACTAGTGGTACAATTATGATACACTGTACCCTCAACCTTCTCAGACTACTGAGTAGCTGGGTTTACATTCACATACTACCATGGCCCAGCTAGTTAGTAATATTTTTATTTTTATTTTTTTCAGAGACAGGGTCTCATTATGATGCCTAAGCTGTCTTCAGACTCCTGGCCATGTGTCAAGAGTGAATAATATTAAAAATAATTAAAAAGTTGGTAATTCAGCAAATAGAAGACAGGTTTTGGAGCCATGTTCTCTAACAATATAAAAAGCTCCCTTGTTTAGGAGCACAGGAATTCATCCTGGCTAATAGGAGAGCAGTGGAGTGTGGGCACTTAGGCTGGTTCTTGGCTATGTCTTTGATCTCTCAAGTACATCTTTAGTTGACCTGAGAAAAGTCAACAATATAACAAATGAACATAAAACAAAATGAAAAACAGTAATTTAAGTAAATTTATTTCACTCAGTAAACCCGTGCTCCAGAGTAAACATGAGATAAAAAATTTGAATGTGTGGTGTCTTTCTCCTATCCCTCTCAGAATATGAACATCTAAATGAAATGAACAAGATTTCAGTGCTTAAATGAATAAGGAGTGATTTCTTTTCCTTTTTTTCTTTTTTAGCAAGCCTTTTACATCGTTTGCACCATCCTCTCTCCTCAGCCTCCCAAATCATTGAGATTACAGATGTGAAGTACTGTGCCTGGCTCAAGAAACTTTGTCTTAAAGGGCATAGAAAGGAGGGAATGCTAGAGTGATAACTGATGGTAGAAATGACAGCTGGGGTGAGTTGTAGTTGTTGTTTTTGTTGTTGTTTAACATTAAAGACATAAGAGAATGTTTGTATGTAGTGTGAAATATACTAAAAAGAATAAAAAAGTTGGTGATTCAGAAAAGAAAAGACAGTTTTTGGAACCATGTCCTCTAGTGGAATATAAAAAACTCCCTTATTTGGGAGCAAAGGATGTCCCTCCTGGCTAATAGGAGAGTGGTGGAGTGTGGGCACTGATGCTGGTTCTTAGCTATGTCTTTGTTCTCTTTACTCATCTTATCTTTTGTGTCTAGAATATATTTCCTCTCCCTCTACATATCTAAATCCATTGCACTTCTAGCCAGCTGAAATCTCACTTACAGCTAACAAGTCGATACAGTAATATCACCTCACTCCTGAATTTCACCAGCTTGAATGACACACATCTAAGTAATGCCATTGAAAAGGGCACGGAAACAAAACATATCCTACACCTATGCTAGTGCGGTGTTTCTTCTTTTATTAATGAGAGATACTCTACATTGATAAATCCACCACAGTGCTCATTATGACCCATGTTATGGTGAACACTTAAGAAGGACATGATTAAAGTTGAATAAAATGCTTGTATGTGTTCTCCTATAATTATGATTGCTGATAAGTATTAAGTGTCGGAGTTATATGAAGCAAAGGTATGAGGAAATGCCTAATGAGCTTCTTCTTGTAGGTAGCTGAGAATTAGGAAACTATCTATCAGGTCGGGAGTGCTGAGTTTCTTTGATCAGAAGAGGATGCATGTAACTCGAGGGAGATGTATTAGGTTTTATAATAAATACCTAAGAGATACTTGGTAGAAGAGTTTGCAAAATTATAATTGCACAATTATGTATACTTGGGCATATCCTTTATGGGAGAAGTACAAAGAAAATTTGTAAAAGGACTGGATTCAAGAATGCGGACTTGGTTATGATATATGTGAAGATACCGATGAAACAAAGATGCTGCAAAATGTTTACTTTCTTGTGACCACAGGACTGAGTTGAACCAAGAACCATTAAAATAGAAGGTGGGCTAAAATTTAATTGAATAGAGTGGTCCAAGTTGTCCTGGAGAGGGGTTCTTCATGTTCATGATAAAAGTCCTATGTAATTGAAATAAACTATACTTAGGAACATAACACATGGAACACACAGTTCACCTTAGGAAAAGTCAGGGGAGAAATCTGGTAGAGAGCTTTGCATGAAACAAAATAAGGATCATGGGAGGACAAACTTGAGATATAAATAAAAGGAATCACACTGAGTCTATTTGTTGATCATTTCTTGGGTACTGAAGATATAATGCCTCTCCTACTCATGCCGCCTACTTTACGGTAAAGAAACTAAATGTTAATGATTCCACATTGCCTACCCATGTGTAGGTAACATAGCTTCTGGAAGGAACTCAGGCCTGAAAAAAATCAGAACTTCATTCTTTGAGATACTCTTTAAGATTGTGAAAACTATGCCGTAACTGCTCTTTTTGCTGCTATTTTCATCTCCTAACAGAATGCAAGAGGTTTGAGCTCTAAAGAAGTAGTAAAAGAATGAACAACTAATATTTTTGTGCCAATTATTGCTTTCCCAAGCTGTGTAGGTGTATTTCCTTCTCAATTAAGTGATAAGCTTCTTGAAGACCGTGATTAGGGCCTCATTCTTTATTTTTCTTAATGTCTGGGGTCAACAATTTCCTGTCCTAAGTGCATTTGGCTTCAGCAAATACATCTTTATCTGAGAAATCAACCCAATAACAAAGAAAAATAAAACAAAATAATAAATAGTAACTTAAATAAATTGATTTTACTCAGTAAATTCATTCTCCGGAGTAAACATGAGATCAAAGATTTGAATTTGTGGTTTCTTCTTTCTGACCCTCTCAGTACAAACATCTAAATGGAATGAGCAAAATTCCAGTATTTAAATGAGTAAGGAGTATTTTTTTCTTCCTTTTTTAGCAAGTCTTTTATGCCTAATAGGAAAACAAAAAGAGTGAAAGAAAGAAAAGAAGGAAGGGAGGGAAAGAAAGAGAAAAAAGAAAAAAGAAGGAGCTCTTTCTTTCAGCACTGGGAAAAAATAATGCAGCATGGGCTTATGGTGAGAATTTTATTTCCAATATATTGCTCTTACAAGGATTTTTTCAGGAGTAAATGTGAACAATATGTTATGTTTGCATACTTACTTTAAAGCCAAACTTTCCAAAGGCAGTAACATGAGCATATACACTAGTGATTGAATATTTAGAAATCTTGATCCACAAATACTTGGTTGCTTCAGTTTTTCTTTAGAGGTCTCTGATATAATCCCTCCCATTTTGCATTATTTAGAAGCAAAAAATCTCATATTTCATTAAATTTATTAAGTCATTAACTCTAAGTAAAACACATCATTAATTTAATAACACTTTTGGGGTAAAATGAGGAACACTACATTAAAAATTAAGACATATGTCTTTTTAATGAACTCACATACATCACTGATTTGAAAATTAATTTTAAGCATGTAAGTATAATTTTTAATTCATGAATTGAATGCTTAAAAATATAGGTCATAACAAAGAATACTAAATTGGGACAAACCTATGTTACTGTTCTTTGCCTAACTGGCAATTATTACTATTATTTTGATTCATAAATATTTACAAACCCAAGCTTTTAAAAAATATAAAATGTTACATCTACATAAAATGCCTTTGTTTTGCATGATGACATTTTAAAGGAAAATTTAAGTCATGCAGATATAGCGGATATAGTATGCATATAGATTCATGTATATGCTTTTAACTTAATATATTTTTAAAATCTCCAAGTTGTGTACAGATCTAGTTTACTGTTTCATTGCTATTTATTTACACCACAACTTACATATGTATTTCCTAACTACACATTGAAAGACTATTTATGTCTTTTTCTGATTTTTGTTTTTGTAAGCAACATTTCCATAGCTGTGTTTTCTTGTGTAACATGACTGTAAGTGCTTTCATGAAGAGAGTCAGTGGCATCTTCCACTTTTGGTTTTAAGAAATTTTAATTGCCCACGAAACTGGATGCACCAATTTACCCATTCACCTGTTGTAAACGTGAATTCTCCACAAATCTTGCCAACTCATGCTATTACCATTACTGTTCTTCTTGCTGATAGGACATTTTCCTGAGTACAGGCAAAGATAATCAGATTGTCACACATTTACTTATATGTTTAATCAGCATTTTGATTTTCCGTTCTGTGGACTGCCTCTCTATACTCATGGACCATTTTTCTGCTAAGTATAAAAACTATTATTATACTTTGTTTATATAGATACTTGTAGCTAAATATATTTTCGGTTTTATATAGAACTTTGTTAGAAATGTTGCAAATATTTTCTTTTAGTCTGTCATTTGCATTTTAACTTTGTTACAGTGTATCTTGAAATAAAGAACATTTGAAGAAAATTTTAACTTTGATGCAATAAAACTCAACAGTTTTCTTGATGAATTCTCTTGCCTTAAACAGATTTTCCCACTACAAGTTTATATATATATATATATACATATATATATGTATATATATATATGTATATATATATATACATATATATATGTATATATATATGTATATATATATATATACTCTTTAATATTTTCTGCAATAATTTTAAGCTTGTTTTAAATATGTGCTTTTGAGCCATCTAGAAATTTTTGCCTGTATGTTTTGAGATTAGAATTTTATTTTATTTTCACAGCACTGTTTATGGGCAAGTCTATCCTTGGTGTGCCCCTTTTTAAGCTGCCACATCTGCAAAAAGACAAATACTCACATGTCCATGAACCTCCTTCTGGATTTTGATCTATATGTCTTTTGCTCTGCCAAATCACACTGTTTAAATTACTAGATATATCAATATGTCTTGAGATTTGGTATGATAATTTCCCATCTTTATTTCTATTTTTTCCCTTCTAGAATTGCACATTAAAATTTTATACATGAATTTTATAATCAACATGTTGGCTTCCATGAATAATCACTTTGAAATTTTGATTGGGCTTACACTAAATTTATACATTAATTTAGAGAGATTTAAAGTATTTACAATATAATAAACATGATATACCTCTCCAAACTTGCAGCTCTTTTAAAAATCTTAGCAGTAAAGTCATACAGTTTTATTCAAAACAACCTTATATATTTTTGTTTTGTTTGACTGCTAGGCTTTTTATATTTTTATTTCACTTTTCTATTCATTTATTCAGTTATTAAACAAATATTTGTTGACTGCCTAATATGTGTCAGACATTATCTTAGATATTAAAGCTATAACCCTAGGAAACAAAACAAAAGAATTCTTAACTCACAGAACTTAGTCTAATGGGAAGACACAGAAAATAAAGAAACAGTCAAGTCAATGCCTAACATGTCATATGGTTTTAAGTGTTATAAAGAAAATTACAGCTGGGCAGGGTACATAGAGAATTTCCTGGTTGAAGTTCAGGGTTATGGTTTTCTATAGGGTGTTGAAAGAAGTCTAATGATATTTGATTTCTCACCTGAAGTGAGAAAGTAATCTATGCATGTATCTGAGGGACGACATTTCTAGAAAGAGGAAATGACAAATGTAAAGCCTTTGAAAAAGGAAAATGCTTGACTCATTGGATGAATTACAATATTCTAGTATGCCAGAAGGAATGGGAGAGACATAAAAGATGAAGTTAAACCAGAAGTCATCATCCAAATTACATAATAACTTAGAAATTTTAAAGATTTTTGGTTTTGTTTTGAATGAGATGAGATGGTAAAGGCCATTTAAGATAATTACTCTGTTTAAAGAATAGCTTGCTGTTTTGTTAGAATAAAATAAAGGAGAGAAAGAGTCAAGAATAGAAACTAATAAAGAGGCTATGGAATAATATTGGTGATTAATTACGCTATACTCAGTATATTAATCCAGTATAGTATACTGGATCCAAGTGATAGCAATGAAAATAATAAGTGCTTTGATTATGCATTTGTTAATTAAATATGGTGGAATATGAAAGGAGGAAATCAAGAATAGCTTCAAGTTTGTTGACCCCAACAATTGGACCATTGATATTGCCTATACTCTAAAGGTGAAGAACACCTATCAAAAATTTTTGTGTCAATACTGAATTTTACAAAATTATGTTCTACAGCAGATTTCTATAATTTTAATTTGCCTTACCATCCATTTTGAATACAGGTTTAACTTTCTAATACCAAGACTTAGTCACCCTTCACACAGTCTCCAGTTCTCTGCCTCCTCCCAGTTTCCCAATGTGCTTAATCCATATATCTGTCTGACATACAGCTATTTCCTTGTAACCGTTTCCTCCAGGACATGCAGATACAAACTATTTGACTTTTTCCGCCGACCCTGCATCCCACATGGTCTGTGAAGGTAAGCCACAGTAATCATGATCAGTCACAGCATGACCCAACATGACTTAAAATTTGCCTGCTTCAAACCCACCAGTTAGAATTCTCTGCAGGAAATCTGCTTGGATAATGCCCCAGCCCCCAATAAAGGCCCAGGTCCATAGGTCCATCGCTCTTTGGCTCCCCACCTGCTGGCTGAGTGCATTGCTCCTGCCATCTTCCTATTGGCCTTTGCTGGCACTCCTCTTCTCTTGTAGATCTGTGAGTAATAGACTGCTTCTGTTATTTTATGCATTTTTGTTGCGTTGATGCCTCTGTGTCTCACTGGACTGACACACTTGGATCTAACTTTATCCCTGGTCAAGCCTCTCCTATAGAGTGGTTATCCTGGCAGGAATAAACTGGACACAGGTCATACAGGAGCCACAAAAGTCTCTGCCAGTATAAACAAGTTTCCTGTGAGAGGGACACCTGGTCATGGGTCAACACTTAAGCATTAGGCAGTTGCCAGGGTAAAAAAGTATCCCACAAAAGGCACATTGACAAAATCTAGAGTCCAGCCTACGTAGGGCTTGAGTTTATAGCCACCCTCCTGTGAGAGATCTCAAGACCAAATTAGGACAATGGAACAGAATCGGAGACATTTTAAGTTAAAAGAGGGATCGGGGTTGAAGTCAGACTGCTCGTCGTGCCTCAGATAAAAATGATTCACAATGTTGACAGTTAGGTGAGTTGACCCATTTGAATGGCTAAGTTTGGTCACTTACACAGAATGACAACAGTCTGTAATCACAATGTACCCCCCAGCCTAGTAGCTACAGAATGTCTTTTGACATTAATTACAAGTCACATTGTAATATTAGAATCTCCAAAATGTGAATTTAAAAAAGAAATTTTATGTTTAGACTTATGAACATGTGTTGGTCTTTTAGAGAGGCCAGGAAACATGACTATTAGACTCAAGTTAAATTAAATACACTTTTTAATAGTTTTGCCCCTATCAAAATTTAGTTATACTTCAGATTATTCAAAATTAAAATCGTCTGTCTCTTTTTACTTGTCAGTTCATTTTCCTCTTAGGAATTCAGCTAGTTAAGCACATCAAACCAGTAGTCTTTGTTCTTCAATCAGAATTAATCATTACACATGCTGCAGAGGCGGGTAAGTGGCCAATTGTAAAGCTATATATAGCCCTCACTTTCTTTCTCTCTGGTTCGTTTTGTTCTCTCTCTCATAACTTTTAATAAGTTCCTCCAGTTTTAGGATTTCTCTGTTTCTCTGCAGTTTTTTCTACAATATTATTTGATCTACCTTTACACTTACTGTGTTTCTAGGAGTACCTCTTTAGGCAGCTAGCATTATGTTTAGGTAATGAGAGAGATGGATAATGCCATAATTGGTTTTACAACACCTTGGGGAATTAATAGATTTAATTTACCAAGTAAATTTTAAAAAATAATTTTCTTGATTATAATTTACAAACTATTTATTAGGTAAGGCTCATATGTGTGATTATTTTCTAAAAGAACACTTACATTACTTGATTGTAATTTACACAGTACTTATTAGGTAAGGCTCGTGTGTGATTGTTTTCTAAAAAAAACACTTAAATTTAAATAGCAATATTTAAAATGGAAACTGAATTTGTTGGAGATTTCTTTAAAATTATTATAACATTAGTTATCACCTGAATTCTCAATAAATATATATATGAAATTCAAAACTTCACATAATTAAACAGAATTTATAAAATAGTATCAGATGAAGAATTTTGTAATTTATCTGAGCTGTTTTACAATAGTCAAAAGATTCATTTGAAAACTAAATTGATAATATCAGTTGATCTTTCTCTATGAATTGATAGGGCATTATCTGTTTTTAATATGAATAAATTGTACAGAAGAGATTTAAATAAAATTAGGTTTTTTGCCTGAAATTTTATAAATATAAATTTAATAAATATGAAACTTTTATTTTCTAGAGAGTTTTTCTTTTTCCTGACTTAAGTAAAATTCCTGTGTTATAAATCAAGAGGACAAGCAAATGTTTAATTTAAATTATATTGGATATAGAACATTTATAAGGTAATCGGGATGTGGGTTTTGGATGCTAGAAATCGCCCTCATTTACCTAGAACACAGTTTACACAAGACTGACATACAAGATAGAATTTGGGGATTATAATGATATTACTATATAGAACATACCTTAGAATCCTCAGTCTTCCAATTGGTTATTACTTATTATGGGGAGATTTTCTTAGGACATTCTCCCTTAAATTCTGGACTTCTTTCAAAAGAGGTCTTCTTAATCTTTTTCTCCTTGTTGGTCAGCCTCCAGCCCCTCATTTCTTGATCACTTTATGCATGGCAGTTTAGCACTCCTCCCTATTCCTCTTCCCAAACTGGACCTCAGATAGGTCTTTCAAAATCTAAATGCTTTTTAAAGTTCTTAACTTTAAAAGTCTATCTGTAGTAGATCTTTACAATCAGTAGGAAATTTCTTTGCCATTTACAGACATTGCTAATTTTTTAATGTGATGAGCTTTGGAGGGATTTCTATATCTACCACCCAGATCAATCATAAGAGTTCAGGTTGGGGATGGAGATTATTGTTAAAATAATCATTTGAAAATTCATTCAAGAAAATTTAACATGTGAACAATACATCAGGCATTGTGTTGGGCATTCAACTGTAAACAAAAACTATATGGCTCCTGCCCAAATGTAGCTTACAAGCAGGTATTAAAGAAAACAACATACTAATTCTTCATGAGAAAGAGTCACTGCCCCTGAGTCCACTTGCAAGTAATTTTTAAATGCACATTTTGAATAGAGAATTTAGTAAACTTGTTGATCTGCTATGAGATTTAGACTTAGAAGCAGGACAGTTTTTAGAGATCATCAATAAATGCTGGCTTTCTAACAAGGATGACTAAGAACTTACATTATGATTTGAGGAACAAGAAAAAGGGTTCATAGAGAATGGAACAGATTTAATGTTTATATGCCAGTGTTCTCTGTATATACAAATGTCCAGTTAGAAAATGGAAAGCTAAATATTCATCTAGATGTAAAATGTAGTGTTAGGAAGGGTTAAAAGGAAACTGCACATAGTTCTTATACACAGGGATTTAAGCTCAAGGCACAAGATCCCTCTTCAGCGACAAACGTTCCTGGGCTAAATGTTCATTCCTTAAGCCTGCACCCAGTGGAAATTTTTTTTTTTTTTTGAGGGATTCTTGCTCTGTCACCCAGGCTGGAGTGCAGTGGCACCATCTCAGCTCACTGCAACTTCCGCCTCATGGGCTTATGCAATTCTTGGGCTTTAGTCTCCTGAGTAGCTGGGATTACAATGCTCACCACAGCGCCTGGCTAATTCTTGTATTTTTAGAAGAGACGGGGTTTCACCATGTTGGCCAAGCTGGTCTCGAACTCCTGATTTCAAGTGATCAGGCTGCCTCGATCTCCCAAAGTGCTGGGATTACAGGCGTGAGCCACCACGCCCAGCCATGGAAAATAATATTTGATGTCTCTTGTGTACAGATATTTTCAGCTACAGGTCCTTAGCATTCCCTTTGCACTTGTGGTGCGACCTAATTGTTGCAGACTCTCTTTTCCTGTTTCACTTTCCCAAAACATTCAAATAAAAGATATTTTAAAAAGCATCATATAAAATGTTATGGTATCAAAAAAAAAAAAAAAAGAAAGAAAGAAAGAAAAAAGAAAAGAAAGGCAGTGCCTGTATCCTAGCACTTTGGGAGGCCTGTAATCCTAGCATTTTGGGAGGCCACAGTGGGTGGATCACCTGAGGTCAGGAGTTTGAGAGGAGCCTGGCCAAAATGGTGAAACCCTGTCTCTACTAAAAATACAAAAATTAGCTGGGCATGGTAGCACGTGACTGTGGTGCCAGCTACTTGGGAGGCTGAGGCAGGAGAATCCTTTGAACTTGGGAGGCCAAGGTGCAGTGAGCTGAGATCATGCCACTGCACCCTAGCCTGGGCGACAGAGCAAGACTCTGTCTCAAAAAGTAAATAAATAAATAAATAAATACAATAAAATAAAAAGAAGGAAAAGAAAAAAAGTGCCCTAACATATACAAAGGCCTTAGAATCTTTTACAAAAATAATTTTTAAAAAAAGCCAGTAAGAAATGTGACTCTGAAAGTAGTAAAAAATAATAATAATAAAAATCACAGGATAATAGCAAGACATAGGCAAAGTGGTAGCAAAAGCAGATGAGAACAATTGAACAGACATAGAGAGGCATTAACAGTGCTAGAGAAGATACTTATATTTGAGGTTTTACATGTGCATGCCAGTTTTCAAAATGAAAAATCTTGAATCTTTTAAAAACTATTTTAAAAATCAGGTGTTCATTCCTGGAGATTATCTTTGATCTAGAATAAGGTATTATACCTAGACTTCTATTTTTCATTTTATTTAAGTATTTTGCCTCAAACTCTTACCCAGGAGTTATTTCATTTTGTAGTTGAATCTTCTGTTATTTAACTTTTTAAAAGTATGCTTTTACACATTTTTAAAGACCTCAGAAATGGCTGTTTTATGGCCTTAGTATTTTTTTTCCTTAATATTGGGGGAAGCAAAAAATAATTGAAGATAAATGTTTTAGCACACCATATGAGGGTGAGAATTAAGAATCATTACATTTTCTAAGCAGAGTGAAATAAAAATGTTAACAATTTCTTATTTTATGGATGCACATAAACACTAAAATTATCAAATGAGGGAATAAATTTTAAAATATTTTGAACATTTTAGTATTTAACCAATCAGATAGCATATTTTAATGGACTTTATTTATTAGAAAGTTTTTAGTTTTACAAAGCAGTTTCACAGAGTATGAAGAGTTTCCAGCTACCTTCTTTACCACCAACCACACAAAGTCTTATTTTTATTAACATCTTGCATTTGTATAGAACATTTGTATTAAATGATGAATCAATATTAATATATTATTATTAACTATGGAACATAGTTAATATTTGGGTTCAATCTTTGTCTTGTATACCTCCATGAGCTTTACAAAAGCATCATTATGAATCCAACATTACAGTGTCACACAGAATAGTTTTACCACCCTAAAATCCTCTATGCTTCTCCTATTTATCCCTTCCCCCAACCCCAAAGCCCTGGACATCACTTATCTTTTTACTCTCTCTACAGATTTTTCTTCCCAAGTTGTCATATAATTGGAATTATGCAATATGTAGTATTTTCAGACTGTCTTCTTTCACTTAGCAATATGCATTTAAGATTCCTCCAAGTCTTTTAATAGTTTATTAGGCCATTTCTTTATGTCAATGCTTCTTTTTCTATTGAATGAATGTACCATAGTTTGTTTTTCTATTTACCTATTAAAGAACACTTTGGTTACTTTTAATTTTTGGCAATTATGAGTAAAACTACATTTGTGTGTAGGCTTTTTGTATAAACATAAATTTTAATCAAATTGAGTAAATATCTGGTTTCTCTGGCTGGATCATATGGTAAGACTATGGTTAGCTTTGTAAGAAACCACAAAACTGTCTTTCAAAATGGCTGTTTTATTTTCCACTCCCACCAGCAATGAATGAGAGTTCCCCTTCACTGCTTCACATACTTGTCAGCACTTGGTACTGTCAATGTTTTGGATTTTAGCCATTCTAACATATGTGTGGTGGTAACTCATTGTTTCAATTTGCAATTCCTGAATGATAAATTATATTGAATATCTTTTATATATATTTATTTGTTATCTGTATGTTTTCTTTGATGAAGTGTCCTGATTTTTACTCATTTTAAAATTCAGTTGTTTATTGTCTTATTGTTGAGTTTTAAGAGTTATTTGTATATTTTGGATAGTAGTTTTTTATTGGATATGTTTCACAAAGATGTCCCTATCTGTTGCTTGTCTCTTCATTATCTTAACAGCATCTTCACAAAGCAGAAGTTTTTAATTTTAGTCAACTCTAACATTTCATTCTTTCTTCCAGGTATTGTGTTTTTGGTGTTATATCCAAAAAGTAATTGGTAAATCCAAAGTGATCCATATGTACTCCTAAACTATCTTCTAGACCTGCTAGAGTTTGGTATTTTACATTTAGATCTATGATTTACTTTGTTATTTTGTATAAAAGGTGTAAGTTCTGAGCCTAGATTTATTTTTTTTTTGCACATGGATTTCTAGTTGTTCCAGAAACATTTGTTGAAAGAGCTGTCCTTTATCTGTTGAATTAATTTTGCTTCATTGTCAAAGACTAGTTGACAATATATTTGTGGAACTATTTCTGGCCTCTCTATTTTATTCCATTCATCTATTTGTCTATACTTTCACAAATACTATTTTGTTTGCTAGTAAGTAACTTTATAGTAAGTCCTTAAGTCAGGTAGTAGTGCCAGTCCTCTGACATTTATGTATTTGGTATTGTGTTGCCAATCTATTTATTTTACTATTTCATATAAACTTTAAAACTTACAAAGTAACTTTTTGGTGTTTTTATTGGGTCTGCATTAAATCTGTTAATCAATTAGGAAAAACTGACAATATAAAAATATTGACTCTTCCTATCCATGAACATGGAATATCTATTTAGATCATTGATTTTGTATGTATTTCTTTGTACATATTTTGTTAGATTTATAACTAAGTATTTTCTTTACTTTGGTGCATATGTAAGTGTTGTTGTGTTTTTAACTGCCAAATACATTAACCTTTTATCCCACAATCTTGCTGTAATCTTTTATTAGTTCTAGACACTTCTCAAATTTGTATATTATTTGAGATTTTCTAGTTAGACAAATCCAGAAAATCTGTCATCTGTCAGCAAATATATCTGTCATGTGTGAACAAAGACAATTTTATTTCTTCCTCCCTTATCTGCATTCCTTTTGTTTCCTTTTCTTATCCTTTTGCATTAGCTAGGATTTGTAGAATGATGCTAAACAGTAGTGGTGAGAGGGGACATTTTTGCTTTGCTATTGATCTTCTTGGAATAGCATCAAGTTTCTTATCAATAATTATGACTTTATCTCTAGGTTCTTGTTTTTCTCTTTTTCTGCCTTTTGTATAAATTGAGCATTTTTGTATGATTCCATTTTATCATTTCAATAGACTTATTATCTATACTTCTTTTTGAATAGAAGTAATTTTTAGGTATTAAAAACATTTTAGTAATATAATAAAAATTATAATTTATTAAAAGATTAAATATTATAGAAAACTTATCATATAAAAAGTGACATTCTTTCCACCTTCAAAGAATAAACTTTAATTACCCTGACTCATCACTTGTAAAAACATCCAAGTAAAAGCAATATGATACCTGCATGCTTTTCAGATATGCTTCTCTGATATATAAAGAAAATTAGAAACATTGTTAACACATGAAAAGTAGTTAAACTATCAGTATGCAACACTATGAATAACTTCTCTTTTCAGATTTCTTGGAGAACCCTGGAAATTATTTGAGGTAACCTGTATTTCCATATTTTTGTTGAAACCAAACATATTGTTTACAGTACAGCTTAACTTGTCTTGACAAAGAATCTCAAAATATACATGGCTCAAATAAGAAAAGACTTATCTTTTTAATTATTAATACTTAGCAGTCCAGAAAAAGTGAAGCTGTAGCTTCATGAGCTCATTAAGTGTTTCCAACTTTGAAGCCTGTCACTCCACCTTCCTCAGAGTGGTGCCCTTATCTACATAGTCAAAGCTGTTGTCACTATCACAAAAATATTTCAGCCTCCAAGAAAGAAGAAAGACAGTGAGGGCCAAGGGAAAATTATCTCAGAGTTGCTTGCTTTTCTTCTACTCACATTCCACCCATAAGAACTTAGCCACATGGCCATATGTAGTTGCAAGTCAGGCTGGGAAATATGCTGTTTGGCTGAAAAGCCATGTTGCATAACTAAGACTTACAAGCAAAGGGTGAGGTGTTTCTATGGCAAAATAAATAAAATAGGATAGTAGAACAAATACAATAATGACATTGAATGCTTAATTTTATAAAACGAGTACTATATATATGTATATATAGTATATATTTTATATATATAAAATTTTATATATATAATATATATAACATATATTATATATTATATAATATATTATATATAATATATAATATATGTTATATATATTATATATATTATATATTATATATTATATATATTATATATTATATATTATATATATTATATATTATATATTTATATATATATATATATAATTTTTTTGAGACGGAGTCTTGCTCTGTCATCCAGACTGGAGTGCAGTGGCGTGATTTTGGCTCACTGAAACCTCCATGTCTGGGGTTCAAGCAATTCTCCTGCTTCTGTCTTCCAAGTAGCTGGGACTACAGGTGCATGCTGCCACGCCTTGCTACTTTTTTGTATTTTTAGTAGAGACAGGGTTTCACCATGTTGGCCAGGCTGGTAGCGAACTCCTGAGCTCAGGCAATCGGCCCACCTCAGCCTCCCAAAATGCTGGGATTACAGGTGTGAGCCACTGCTCCTGGCCTGTTTATATATATTTAATAATAGAAAAACAATAGAATTGTATCAGTTGATGTCACTGTAAGATTAATTTTCTATTATTTACTTAGTGGTAAAGATTAAACTTTGAAATGTTAAATTATATTCTGTATTTTAAATTCTCTGTACAATGGAAATCAGGTAATATATTAAAGCTTTATAGCAGAGTATCCAGAAAGAGGAGTAGGAATACAGACAGTCCCAACTTACAATGGTTTACCTGACAATTTTTCAGCCTTATGGTGATGCAAAAGCAACATGCATTTGGTAGAAATTCTACTTCAAATTTTGAATTTTGCTCTTTTTCCAGGCTAGCAATATGTGGTATGATTCTCTCTCAGGATAATGGGCAGTAGCAGTAGGCCACAGCTCCCAGTCAGCAGGTGATCACAAAGATAAACAACCATATGATATCTGATACTTTATTATAAAATAGGCTTTGTGTTAGAAAATTTGCCCAATTTTAAGCTAACATAAGTGTCTTGGGAACATTTAAGGTAGCCTAGGCGTAGCTATGATGCTGGGTATGTTAGTTGTATTAAACATATTCTCCACTTACAATATTTTCAACTCAAGGTGGGTTTATCTGGGTGTAACTGCATTGTAAGTTGAGGAACATCTGTAGTAGTATTACTGTTACTACACAAATATGAACACATGTAAAGCCTGCAGGTAATACCTATCAAGATTGACTAAGGCATCAGTTATGTACTATCTGTAAAGTATCTAAGGACTTACGGCACACTCGAAATTGAATATCAAATCTCAAAAATGAGCCAAATTATACAGAACAATTATACTATTATTTGTTTTGCTGTAGAATTTTCTTGGTTTTTATTTATGCTTACAACATTAGCAAAGATTAAAGCTAAAAGCTTTTGAAAATATGTATGTGTACTTCTGTGTGTGTATACATTCACCCACATGGAGACAAAATATCTAAACTAGTTTGTTCTAACAAAGGTAAATGTGCCACAGATCACTGAAAAGATTTAATGAGATTAAATCAAATTAATTATAACTGTATCTATGGCATTAAATCCCCCAAACTGCCTCCTGGCATTGCAGAGACCTTGGCATATGTGAGTTTAGGTCACAGTACTCAAAATCAAGAAGCTGACAGGTTAGATTTTCTTCCTGAGATTTCGCTCATTAGCCATACCAGAATATTTAGTACATCAGGCCACTCAGCTTGAATTCCCAAACAACACATGACTTTGGAATATGATCCCTTGATAACTCATTGAAAGTGTCTAAATACATGTACCTGGCATAATAGGCCAAGGATGACAATTTAGGCAGAAGAAATTGTTTCTCCTCTGTCACATATTTTTGACACATTTACAAATTGCTAACAGCAGCTTCAGATTCCATTTTTTACTTTTTTTTTGTTGCACTACTATCAACTGGGTTCTATTCACTTATTAAATATTTTTTAGACATTATAATATCCTTTTGATTGGTTTCAAATTGAATGAAAATATTTACAGAAATAAAAAATCTTTGCATTAATTAGAAGATAAAGCAACATTTTCTTAAGCCACTGATATTTTTACACATATTTATTATTTTAATATTGATTTATGATTTTTGTCTCTTTATCATTATAGAGTTTTAAGTTAATGTACTGCTTTTTTTCAGAATATGTTTAATGCTCCTTAACCACTCTAAAGAAAAGATGGGCTATTTAAGAATTTACATCTGTTCTAAACTCTATCTATTACAAAGAGGTGGAAATAAAATATTCTGCACACTCTTAGAAAACACATAAGGTAATTTAGAACGCAATCCAAAAAATGCATGACATTGTGAGTATTGTATATGAGTGTCCCAATCTGTTTAAAATCTGTTCCCCATATACTGTCAAACAATATATTCTCTTTTTTTTTTTTTTTTTCCAAATGGTCTTCAGCGTGCTCAATGTTTACTGAGGGCAGGGACAGAAGCAAGCAAGCACGGCAGCTATCAGGGGTGAGGGCAAGTTTCTCCCATTTTGCTCCCACATTTAATAAGTGTTCTTTTCAGAAAAGTTGGACAATATTCACAAGTAGAAATGAATACTTTATATTCTTATGGATATATGTAAAATTTCTCTTACGATAATTTATGAATATACTTTTTTTATAAATTTGGACCATATTATAACTTACTTGACAATATCTCATAAATGTACTTCCATGTCAAAATAGACATAGGTCATTTTAATGAATGTTATTCTATCATATAAATAAAATAATTCAGTTAGCCATCTGCTATTGCTGAACATTTAGGTTATTAATTGTTTTCAAATAAGCAGTGATAAACATTCCTTTACATATACTTTACATAGCTATTCAGTTATTTTCTTATAATATATTCCACATAGTAAAATGCTGATTCAAAAGGTATGTGTGCGTGTGCGTGTGTGTACATACACTTTTTCAAAAAGATCATTAGACACATAGGACCAATCTAGGAGAGGGCTTGTTTCCCCATGTTTTCCTGGACTGATTCCTCTCTCTAAATTTTTGGTAATTTGATTGATGAGAAAATGGAAGTGCATTTTTTTTACTATGCTTAAAGTTCTGGGGTACATGTGCAGAATGTGAATGTTTGTTACATAGGTATACATGTGCCATGGTGGTTTGCAGCACCCATCAATCCATCATCTACATTGGGTATTTCTCCTAATACTATCTCTCCCCTAGCCCCCCAACTGCCGACAGGCCCCGGTGTGTGATGTTCCCCTCCCTATGTCCACGTATACTCATTGTTCAACTCCCACTTATGAGTGTGAACATGTGGTGTTTGGTTTTCTGTTCTTGTGTTAGTTTGTTGAGAATTATGGTTTCCAGCTTCATCCATGTCCCTGCAAAGGACATGAACTTGTCCTTTTTATGGCTGCATACTATTCCATGGGGTATATGTGCCACATTTTCTTTATCCAATCTATCATTGATGGGCATCTGGGTTGGTTCCAAGTCTTTGCTGTTGTGAATGGTGACACAATAAACATACGTGTGCATGTGTCTTTATAGTAGAATAATTTATGATCCTTTGGGTGTATACCCTGTAATGGGATTGCTGGGTCAGATGATATTCCTAGTTCTAAATCCTTGAGGAATCACCACATTGTCTTCCACAATGATTGAAGTAATTTACATTCTCACCAACTGTGTAAAACCATTTCTATTTCTCCACATCCTCTCCAGCATCTGTTGTTTCCTGACCTTTCAGTGATCACCATTCTAACTACTGTGAGATGGTATCTCATTGTGGTTTTGATTTCCATTTCTCTAATGACCAGTGATGATGAGCACTTTTTTCATGTTTGTTGGCTGCCTAAATGTCTTCTTTTAAAAAGTGTCTGTTCATATTCTTTGCCCATTTTTTGATGGAGTTGTTTTTTTTCTTGTAAATTTGTTTAAGTTCTTTGAAGTAAAACACTCTTCAGCAAATGCAAAATAATGGAAATCATAACGAAGTCTCTCAGAACACAGTGTAATCAAATCAGAATTCAGGATTAAGAAACTCACTCAATACTACACGACTGCATGGAAACTGAGCAACCTGCTCCTGAAAGACTACTAGGTAAATAATGAAATGAAGGCAGAAATAAATATGTTCTTTGAAACGAATGAGAACAAACACACAATGTACCAGAATCTCTGGGACACATTTAAAGCAGTGTGTAGAGGGAAATTTATAGCACTAAATGCCCACAAGAGAAAGCAGGAAAGTTCTAAAATCAACACTCTAAAATCACAATTAAAAGAACTAGAGAAGCAAGAGCAAACAAATTCAAAAGCTAGCAGAAGACAAGAAATAACTAAGATCAGAGCAGAACTGAAGGCGATAGACATGAAAAACCTTCAAAAAATCAATGAATCCAGGAATTAGATTATTGAAAAGATCAGCAAATAGATAGACAGCTAGCCAGACTAATAAAGAAGAAAAGAGATAAAAATCAAATAGACACAGTAAAAAATGATAAAGTGGATAGCACCACAGATCCCACAGCAATACAAACTACTATCAGAGAATACTATTAACACCACTGTGCAAATAAACTAGAAAATCTAGAAGAAATGAATAAATTCCTGGACACATACACCCTTCCAAGACTAAACCATGAAGAAGTCGAATCCTTGAATAGACCAATAACAAGTTCTTAAATTGAGGCAGTAATTAATAGCCTACCAACTGAAAAAATCCCAGGACCAGAGGAATTCTCAGCCAAATTGTACCAGAGGTACAAAGAGGAACCGGTACCATTCTTTCTGAAACTATTCCAATCAATAGAAAAAGAGGGAATCCTCCCTAACTCATTTTATGAGGCAAGCATCATCCTGATACCAAAACCTGGCAGAGGCACAACAACAAAAAAGGAAATTTTAGGCCAATATCCCTGACGAACATCAATGTGAAAATCCTCAATAAAATACTGGCAAACCGAATCCAGCAGCACAACAAAAAGCTTATCCACCAGGATCAAGTCAGTTTCATCCCTGGGATGCAAGGCTGGTTCAACATATGGAAATCAATAAGCGTAATCCATCACATAAATAGAACCAATGACAAAAATCCCATGATTATGTCAACAGATGCAGAAAAGGCCTTCGACAAAATTCAACAGCCCTTCCTGCTGAAAACTGTCAGTAAACTAAGTATCGATGGAACGTATCTCAAAATAATAAGAGCTATTTATGACAAACCCACAGCCAATATCATACTGAATGGGCGAAAACTGGAAGCATTCCCTTTGAAAACCAGCACAAGACAAGGATGCTCTCTCTCACCACTCCTATTCAATATAGTATTGGAAGTTCTGGCCAGGAGAAACAGACAAGAGAAAGAAATAAAGTGTATTTGATTAGGAAAGGGTAAGTCAAATTGTCTCTGTTTCCAGATGACATGATTGTATATTTAGAAAACCCCATCATCTCAACCCACAATCTCCTTAAACTGATAAGAAACTTCAGCAAAGTCTCAGGATACAAATCAATGTGCAAAAATCAGAAACATTCCTATACACCAAAACCAGACAAACAGAGAGCCAAATCATAAGTGAACTCCCATTCACAATTGCTACAAAGAGAATAAAATGCCTAGGAATCCAACTTACAAGGGAAGTGAAGGACCTCTTCAAGGAGAACTACAAACCACTGCTCAAGGCAATAAGAGAGGACACAAACAAATGGAAAAACATTCCATGCTCATGGATAGAAAGAATCAATATCGTAAAAATGGCCATACTGCCCAAAGTAATTTTATAGATTCAATGATATCCCCATCAAGCTATCATTGGCTTTATTCACAGAATTGGAAAAAACTACTTTAAATTTCACTTGGAACCAAAAAAGAGCCCGCATAGCCAAGACAATGCTAAGTAAAAAGCACAAAGCTGGAGGCATCACGCTACCTGACTTCAAACTATACTACAGGGCTACAGTAACAAAACAGCATGGTACTGGTACCAAAACAGATATATAGACCAATGGAACAGAACAGAGGCCTCAGAAATAACACCACACGTCTACAACCATCTGATCTTTGACAAACCTAACAAAAACAAGCAATGGGGAAAGAATTCCCTATTTAATAAATGGTGTTGGGAAAACTAGCTAGCCATATGCAGAAATCTGAAGCTGGATCCCTTCCTTACACCTTCTACAAAAATTAACTCAAGATCAATTAAAGACTTAAACATAAGACCATAAAAACCCTAGAAGAAAACCTAGGCAATACCATTCAGGACATAGGCATGGGCAAAGACTTCATGACGGAAACAGCAAAAGCAATGGTAACAAAAGCCAAAATTGAAAAATGGGATCTAATTAAACTAAAGAACTTCTTCACAGCAAAAGAAAGTATCATCAGAGTTAACAGGCAACCTACAGAATGGGAGAAAATTTTTGCAGTCTATCCATCTGACAAAGGGCTAATATAGTCTCCTTTCTTAAGTGAGGCAATCAGAAAAGACTACTTTCAATCTCATACTACTGTAACAGTGAAATAATTGTGTCTTTTCTCCACTCTTTCTCCAATTATAATAAAAGACATATATCTTTTTAGGTCAAAGGTAATTTTTTTATTTGTGTTTTGGGACTGTTTTTCCCCACTCTGGAACACCACTGACAAAACTTTCTCATATATAATCAATTATTTCTCATTAGGGGCATCTTCCCTTTAACACATAAAGAGATACACATCAATCCATTACACAAATAAACAAAAACAGCAATGACAACAAAACAAATTATCTCCAACTATAATGTCTCTTCATACTAACAATCATAATTACTCAAAAAGCTTTTACATTTCTTGTTGCCTCACCTTATTACACAACTCCGTATATTCTATGATCTGTGCTGCCGCCCAAATTTAAATTATTTTTGCAAGAATTGAAAATGATTTCAGTATTACTAGTTAAGTGTGAACTCCTCAGTCATTTTTCTAATTGCTCTATTAGAAGCAACTTAGTTATTCTTTCTCAGCTTTTCATACCTTGACTGTTGTCACACCACTCTCCTGATTAGTATTTTTTAATTCAATTGTATCCTTGAAGACTCTATATGGATGACCCACAGGGAACTTAAAAATGATGCCATCCCACTCTCAATAAATCAGTTATTGTGTCTGCTTTGAGGCCACTATATGCCCAGTTGCCAAAAAAAACTCTGCCTCTTTGTTGATCCTATCTTTTTATCCCAAGGCTATATCAAAGCATCCATCAAAACTACTCTTATATTTTCTAAACATTATTTAAATACCTCCACTGATATCTATCACCCAGTTGCTGTCTTTATTTAAATGTTTTATGATCTCGCTTAGTCCTGTATAATCTCTCTTATATGACTTCCTATCATAATGATTTCTAACACCAATATAATTTTCTCACTGTACATCTAGTAGTCTTTCTAAAGTTAAAATGAAACCTTGTGATTTCACTGTTTAGTGGCTTTCCATTTTCTCTTGTTCAACTCCAATTTTGAAATATTGTATTGAATTTCTTGAATATCTAGGTATGGTTGATGTCTACAGATTTTCTAATGTTCTTCTCTACATTTGAAATACATCAATAACTCTCCTTCAGATAATCCTCCTTCTACCAATTCTCAGTTGCTGATAAGTACAACCTTAAGCTGTAATGATTCCAACTTCCACTTTCACAAGCAAACTTGTTTTTCCCCCAAGATACTGTCCTACATTTACTGTAGCATCTTAGTAACTTAAGAAGAGTAAAACTGTGCTAATATTTTAGTAGCTTTCTTTATTTTTATTTCTGTGTGTCACTAAAAAAGTGTTTAACTGTTATGTCTTAGTTCCAATTTTCTCCAAACATTTATGGTTATTACCACATGATTTTGCATTTTGTTATAATTCTTCCAAATGCATAGATTGCATTATAGGAGAACTGACTATGCTATTACTTATGTCATATTATATAGGATAAATAATATGCTTAGCAAAGATCTATAGTTTTTTCAATGACATATAGTATTGTAGAGCTGGGATAGAAATGCAAGGAAGCTTGCTCAAAAATATATTCGTCCCAAAAGTCATTATTAAAATTCATATATTGTCACCATTATGTCCTTGATATTTAACAAGGAAAAAGATTTTGTTAATTGAATGAATAAACAAATGAACAGAAGATGTTAAGTAAGAAGTATGAATATATTTAAACATATATCTTAAGTTATTTTTCCTTTTGTGAGTTATTTGGTAATATATTTGATGTTGTGAATTAAGAATTTGAACCATTGTGTATCATTAAGTGAGAAAAAATAGAATATTGCATATAACATGATACTACCAGCTATTTTATATAAATGACATACACACATATAGGTAAAAACAAAAACTGTTCATTAACGTTTTTATTTTTCAAAATCATGTATCATTTTGAAGTATGTGTAACATTGTAAAGAAACAGCATGAACTCTCATTTATTCAGTTTTTGTCTGTTTTATTTAACCTCCAAGGGCAGACAACACTTTTTAAGACATTTGTTGAAGATAATTCAGGTTATTTGCTTTAAGTATTTCACATGTGACAAAGGATTTTTGCCTCAGAGAATGACTGTCATGTTCAAGGCAATACATTTCTCATAAAATAAATTATAAAAGAATTATGTTTTCTATGATGATTATAATCATACTGCTATATACTTTAAATTTTAAATATTTATATGATTATTTACTCCCAAAATACATTTTGTTGAATTTTCAAAAGAAAATATTAAATTCTCCAAATATTCAAGTGTTCATAATAAGGAACTTAATTAAATAATTTACAATTAAATGTAAAAACTAAATGCACTGTAAAATAGATTTTCGCTGGCATAATGTTATTTTCCAAGGAAAGAGTAATCATTATTTGTTTATCAAGAAATTTTCATATGTAAATTTTGTTGAGGAATTACTTATACACGCTTATCAGCACTTTTTAATTAATCTTTTGATAAAACTGCTAGTTTCTATTTTAAAGTATACTAATAGAGAAGAATGATTTAAGCAAAACAGAGAATAACTTTCTTACTTATTAAGAAAGAGATTTTGTGTAGTCCCTGGATGTTAGGTAGCTGTGCTAGTTAATTTTTACATGTCAACTTGACTGGATTAAGGGATAATTCAATAACTGGAAAGCATTATTTCTGAGTGTGTCTGTGAGGGGTGCTTCCAGAGGATGTTGGCATTTGAGTTGGTAGACTGAGTAGGGAAGATCTGCCCTCCATATGGCTAGGCACTAGGCAATCGACTGGGGGCCTGACTAGCACAAAAAGGCAGGGGAAGGGCAAATTTTTGCTGTCTTCTGGAGCTCGGCCACTCATTGTTTCTTGCCTTTGGATGTCGGAACTCCAGATGCTCTGGCTTTTGGACTGTAGGATTTGCACCTGTAGCCCCCTGGGCTATTGGGCCCTTAGCCTTAGATTGAGAGTTATGCCATCTGGTTTGAGGTTTGGGGACTTTGAAACAGGCTATCGGCTTCCCTGGTTCTCCAGCATGTAGATGGGCTATTGTGAGACTTCTCAGCCTCTGTAATCATGTGAGCCAGTTCCACTAATAAATTCCATCTCATCTATTTATCTATCTGTCTATGGGATACATATATCCATCCTACTGGTTCTGACTCTGTAGGAAACCCTGGCTAGTACAGTAGGTAATATAAATTAGCAGTTCCTCTGATAGGCCTTACCATAGCACAGAAATGATTTGCCAAATTAGATTTGTTTATGCTTTACTGAAATATTATAACAACAAGACTTTGCAGAAATCCCAACAGTAAGTGGGAATACATTTAATGAAGCAATATTATAGCATAGTAAGAGAGTTTCATTTAATTTAAAAATTTATAAATTATGAGATTTTTTTCCCAATTCATAGTTCAAATATTGAACAATTCAACAACTTTAAGTAGGATACCTAGACAATTTATTGTTTTATTTCTAGCAGCCTCACGCACATAAATGATACAAAAAGAGTCGAGAATATTTCTACCATGATCATTCCTCTGTGTGTGTGTGCATGAGTGTGTGTGTGTGTTTCTGTGTGTACAGGCTTTTACAGCTATTAGAGTTATTAAGTCCTAATAGCTGTAATAGTTTTCTTAAGTAAGTTGAGGTATTCCCTTTTTAAATGCTTCAAGGATGTTTGAATGAGTACTATGAAGTTGCATTAGAAATATTTAGTGTAAAACCAGACAAAAATGTGAAAGATTCCTAAATTATGTGTATTTTTAAAGTCTGTAAAAGTTAAGATCTAACATTACAGGAAAGATATACATAGAATTCAAAATAGTCCTCTATTAAGAAGATTAATTGAATCTATTGAAATGATAAAATAACCTATGTGGAGGTTAGCAGATCTTAATTATCTACTCTTGTCTCTTCAGCATACTACTTAAACAAAAAGATAAAAATTGTGCTGAATGTTTCTCTCTAGATATGCCATCTTGGCTAATAACAACTTCAGCCCACAGAGAAATCATCCCACAAAATTTTGGGATGGTGACTTCCATTTTCTTAGTGGACATCTTTAAATTTGGGTGCTTAGAATTGAAGTTCAGGCTGGGCGCAGTGGCTCACACCTGTAATCACAGCACTTTGGGAGGCTAAGGCAGGTGGATCTCCTGAGGTCAGGAGTTCGAAACCAGCCTGGTCAACATGGTGAAATTCCATCTCTACTAAAAATACAAAAAAAAAATTGGCCAGGAGTCGTGGTGCATGCCTGTAATCCCAGCTACTTGGGAGGCTGAGGCAGGAGAATTATTGAACCCGGGAGGCAGAGGTTGCAGTGAGCCGAGATCACGCCATTGTACTCCAGCCTGGGGAAAAAGAGTGAAACTCTGTCTCAAAAAAAAAAAAAAAAGAATTGAAGATGATGATGATGATGATGAATAATTTGATTCAAACACAAAGCATCACTGTTCTTGTGTTGGGTCTTAGAAACATTCTGTGCTAGTATTTAAATTATACATTTGCTAGATTGAAGAAGAAAATTGAATATATGATGTATAATTTTAATTAAATTTAAATTTTTTAAGGAAACTTATTTACCCAAGTGCAAACTCCTCAAAGTTATATAAAGATTTATGAGTTTTATAGGGAATAATAAGGTTACTTAAATTTAATTTAAAAATTAAAAACATTGTTTAAAATTTATTTCAGTAAATGAAATATTAATCTTTAAAACAAAAGAAAGTGAAAAGGTTTTGTGCCCCAAAAGCTAACTTCAAATACAACAAAACATAGCTTTACAGGTAGGTTCAAAATACGTAATTTAAATTGATGCAATAATATCTCACATATTTAATTGTGTTCTTTTGATTTTTATAACACTATTAATGAGTTTTTTAAATAGAAAAATGTATGATTAATTTTTTGGAATTTTGTATATTAGCCAAAATTAAATTTATTTGTTATTTGCTAGCAAATTTGATAACTAAATGAGCAATAACTTTCTCCCATATTGTCATTGTTGCAAATTGTCTATTTCTAGGTGAACCTTTCTGGCCAAAATAACCCGCCGTTGCATGTAAAGAGACCATGAGTTTTCTTATCATCTTTTTCAGATTTTGCTATCAGAATAATGCTGATCCTTGAGATAATTTTTTAAAATCCTGTTAGCTGTCAGTCAAATATCTGTACAACCATTTAGCAAAGTAACCAAGTTCTAGATGAATATACTCACCATTGAATAAAGTTTAGAGTTTATCATAACAAGAGCTATAAAAAGGGTAAAGAAACACTCTGTGCTGTATTTACAATGTAATTGGCACTGTGCTGTGAATTTAACATTTATTATTATAATCAATATTATTAACAACCTTAAAGAGCATGTAAGATTATTTTCTTGGCTTCAGTTTAGTTTTCTTGCATTACAAATCTGGAAATATAGTGACCTATAAAAACAATAATTTATAAGCTCCATGAAATTGCAGTTTGAATAGAGATAGGTATGGAAGGCTAATTTCTGCTTCATATAACATCAACTGGGACAGTTTGCCTGGGGACTGAAGAATTTAATTCCCAGATACCTCATACACATGGCTGTCTCAATTGGTGCTCACTGTTGGCTAAGTGTTCAGCCACTGCTGAAAGCAAGGGGCTTATTTCCCCTTTACATGGACCTAACTGTTTTTTTTCTTTTTCCTTTTTTTTTTTTTTTTTTTTTGCCAGGGCTAGCGTTGGCTTCCACACAACATGTTTTGGATTTCAGGAGGAAAGATTCCCAAAAGAACCAGCTGGAGGCTTTTATGATCTAGCCTAGAAGTCACAAGTGGTCACATTCACCATTCTATGTATCTGTGGCAATCACAAAGACATACTCAGGATCCAGGAAACAGGATATTTAATCACTGCTTCATAGGGGCAAGATTAAGTAATAATGTAAGAAGAGCATGTAGGAAGGGAGATGAAAGTTGTAGTCATACTGGAGCAAAACACTTCTCATTAAATATTGTGGGAACAGAGACTCAGAGAGGTAAAGTAACCTGCCCAAGTAACAAAGCTTAGCAACTAGGAGAACTGAATATGTTTTTACTAGATACAAGTGAGTTTTTAAGAAAGTTTATTTTACTTTTCATATAAATTTTGAGAGTAATAATAATAATACTGTTTTCACATCATTTTAATGGACTTTAGTGCGAATGATCCTCATAAGGTACTGCAGTCTAGGACTGATGTACTTAATCATAAAACAATTCTTTACATCCTTTTCTTTCTATTCAGCTTAGTATATATTTACAGTACCACAATTATACAATATTGTGTGGTTACAATTTTAGGTACTAGTGTGATAAATAAATTGGAGAACAAACACAACTAAAGTTGGTAAACATAAAATGGTGGGAGCAGAAATGTATGTATTTATTTGAGAATAGGTGAGTTATGGGTGTCAGCTGTATTAAGGGAAAGTGTCAGTTCATCAGGTAAGTCAGTTAAATAAAAGTCGGCTAAGAGAGCTTTTATTGCGTTTGAAAATGTAAGAGGTCAAGTCAATAATTCAAATGCTTAGACGCACTGCTTAAATCATAAATAAAATAAATATTTATCAGGACTATTTCATTATTCTCACTTTTTTTAATTCTAAAGAAATAGTCCATGATTACTGTTTCAAGACTTCTTTTTCAGTAAAGGGTCAACCTTTCTCTTGATGGATAGATGGTGTCCTAGATCTTCTATGGATTGACTTAAAAATACTTTCATTCTTATCTCTGAATAAAACAGAGATTATGACCCAACTGTCATGTAACAGGAGGGATCATCTGTCTTTTCTTTTTTGAGTCAAGGGATTTTGGCAGGAACATAATATTCCCTTCAAAATCAGTTTGTTCTCTTGACTTTCTTTATAGACTCCATTTATCTGTTTTTTCCTACTCTACAGTCTTTAGGCCTCCAGACTGATGAGATCCTAATTCTTTTGGCATGCTGTCAACATGTCCCACGCAGAATAACTATTAAGTCTTTGCTTTTGTTATTCCTCTGCAATTTTGTTTCCCTTTCTGTGCTTCTTGCCTCTTTGTGATTTTCACCTATTTTGCCTCAAGCTATCTCCTGACAATGTGTTACCACCTCTCTTTATGAATTTGTTTCTTCTTTGCCCGGGTAATTTATTTTAGTCTCTTTCCTTATCCCTGCCCTACCCCACTCATAATCCAATATATTGATATTTTTATGTAAACATTTTTTAACATTTCAATTATTTATCGTGAATATTCAGAACAATCAGACATTTTCTTCTGTCTTAACTCTTCAAATAATACATTCTTTAAGACTGAGAATCTTTGCTTATAAACATTCATATTGCAACTACAATAAACCAATCTCCAAATATTAAGGGCATTAACTTTTTCTTCTTAACAGAAAAAATTAATACTTGTAAATTTTGCTGAGGTAACTTACATTATTTATTCACATTTTTTCATAATATTTTTATGCAGTAATAATAAATTTTAAATTGCAATTTAAACAAGTTTTCAATAGTAATATCTTAGAGCAAAAATTCAATGTTTTGTGAGTATTCTTAGGAAATAAATTTAAGGCTGCAATCCACTGAAATTGATTCTATAATATTTTGTTGTTTAAAAAAAGTCTTATGGAAAAAATTATAATAAAGTCATAATTGCAATTAAGAATAATTTTTTTTTTCAGGCCAGGCACCGTGGCTCACACCTGTAATCCCAGCACTTTAGGAGGCCGAGAGGGGCACATGACTTGAGGTCAGGAGTTCAAGGCCAGCCTGGCCAACATGGTGAAACCCTGTCTCTACTAAAAATACAAAAATTAGCTGGGTGTGGTAGCACATGCCTGTAATCCCAGCTACTTGGGAGGCTGAGGCAGGAAAATTGCTTAAACTGGGGAGGCAGAGGTTAAAGTGAGCTGAGATCGAGCCACTGTATTCTAGCCTGGGTGACAGAGCAAGACTCTGTCTCAAAATGTAAATAAATAAACAAATAAATAAAAGAATAATTTTATAATTGAAATAAATTTTGAGAATTAACTAAGATAATTTTTGAGGATGAAATTAAGCTAACTTTTTTTTTTACAATATTTATTAAAAAGGGTGGCTGTTTAAATATAGTTTGGGATATTCTCCAACTTCTGCTTCTTACTGTTTTTAGAGTAACTCTATATTTTTAATTATTCAGTTCACTATAAGGGAAGTAGCTTTATTTTTCTTGATTGGGAATTATCATAGACTGGATTAGCAGGAAAGTAGAATCTGAGATGGAGATTAGATTAGTATGTGTGAAGTTTATTAAGGAGTGCTACTGTACTTCCCTTCTTTAGAAGGAATAGAAAAGGAAGGAGTCAGCACTAGACAGAGCAAGAAACTGGATGATGCTGTAATCTCAATGAAGACCTCAGCTTCTTCCTCTGAAACTAGGATGGCCATTCAGAATTATCTCAAGTTGGGATGAGGAGACTAGACATTCATATTATGTTAAGAAGCCATTGGATGAGTTGAACTTGGTAAAGAGAAGGGGCCCTGGGAGAAGCAATTCCTGTTAAGTAACATCAATTTCACTGAGGACTTAATGGGAAATCTGGGTAGAATATCTCATCATGAGCCACAGATATAACTTCTCAAATGCAGTAAATATAGAAAAAAATGGAAACAGAATAAGCAAGCTGTTCTGCAACTATAGCATCACCCAATTCTTTAAAATTCTGTAGATTTTATACCTTTGGCCACCCTCAAGATAATATTCTAATCATTCTCTCCTCTCCTCTCCTCTTCTCTCTTGTACTTTCCAGGCCTCCAGTTTCTTCCCTCCACTCCTCCTCATTCTCCTTCCTCTCTCCATCTCTCTCTCCCCTTCTAGACTCTGAGTATATTTCATTCTAAACATTTCATTACATGATTACACAAATTTAAACATATTCCAAGTTGAACCAGCCTTTACAATGAACAAGTATACACTGATCGTTTTAATTTTATTTAGCTTTTTAAAAAATTTAGATGAAAGAAAATTTACTCTTTTGTTGCCCAATATTGTAAATTTTGACACATGCCTAAAATAGTGCTACCACCAACAAATTCATCTTAGAGGACAATTCTCTTGGATCCAAAATCTCTTTACGCTGCTCCTTGTTTTAGTTCAAGCCTAACCTTACACCAAGTCTCTGGCAATCACTAATCTTCTCTTCATTCCATCCCCATCCCACCACCACTTTTTGCCTTTTCCAGAATGTCATGACTAGAATCATGTAGTATGTAAACTTTGAGTCTGATGTTTTTCATTTAAGATAATGCTTTGAGATTACATGTCCTTTTGCTTGCATCATTAGTTTCTTTGTTTTCAATAGTGTACTTCTTTTAAATAGAAGCCATTTGGCAAAGAAGCCTGAGAAATGCAATTTGCAACTTGCTAGCCCTGCCTAGCATAGTAAAATCAGTACACAGAAACAAGAGCAGGTAACTGAGAGATGCTAGATAAATAAATTGTTCAATAGAAATTAAATATTTTAATAAGCATAAGATGGTGATACAAATGTAGCACATTTTTGCACATATGAACAAATTATATATGCACTTTTCTACATTCGAACTCTGTGATAATGTCAAGAATGTGCAGTATGTTTTGTCTGAAATGTTCATCTTCCCTTATCCAATTGGCAAGCTCATATCTATCATTCAAGAGACAAGTAAGTGCTGCATATTTCTTGAATCTGTCCACTGATTCCTCTCTTCCTCATCTGTAGGCAAATATTTTCAATATTTCAATTCTTTAAAGTTCTGTAGATTTTATACCTTTGGCCACCCTCAAGATAATATTCTAATTATTCTCTCCTCTCCTCTTCTCTCTTGTACTCTCCAGCCCTCCTCTTTCCTTCCCTCCCCTCTTCATCATTCTCCTTCCTCTCTCTGTCTCTCTCTCTCCCCTTCTTCACTCTGTGTGTTTATATTTCATTCTAAACATTTTGTACCAAAATTTCCTGTATTTTTATTATATTTATATTTTACATTCAACTATGAGATTCAAAGAGGTACTGACACATCTCTTTCGCATTAGTTATGCTGGCAACTGGCATGGTGCTTAGAATATGATAATCAGTAAACGTTTGTTAAGTGAATAAACTAAAGATGGAATGAATAAAATAATATTCTAATATATATTACTTACCTTAAATAACTTATTCCATGTTTCTGCTTAAAATGTGTGCTTTTGATCATAGTATTTCCATTTCACTTTCTTCCAAGTATATTAGTTTTTAGCACAATCTTTTGAGGCAGTTCTCTAAATTTTGCTCCTATTCTCTCTGCCCGGAATTTTGCACTAAACTGCCAGCTATCACAATTCCGACTTAAGTCCTGGGACTGCAAAATGCATGGATCTCCATCTAAAATGAGAAATTGCTTGTTGTTTCTCTATTTGCACCATTTTCATATGATGTAATTATTAATTAGTATGATGATTATTTTGGACATAAATTGTGATTAATTTGAATATAAATTGAGATTGTATCACTGACGGTATTTTAGAATCTTTTCCTTTTAGTTAGTTTCTGAGGGGGAGCATCTGTTGCATTGTTCTTCAGCTCTGGCTATCATGTTATTTGAAGGACTCAGTAACATAAGGGTGGGAGGGCGAGGTGGAATATGTTTCAGGCATTTCCCACAAATATCATCACCATATGCAGACTGTGTATTAGATAAGGAAAGTTAGTCATGTGGTGAATTTTAACAAGCAAGCTGATAGACATCCTGACACCCAGAAAAAGTAGAGAATAAAACAGTGAGCTATAAAAAAAGCTAACAGATATTTGGCATTTATTTTTAAAACAATGAAAAAAAACTTAGAAAATATATTTTAAATTGCATTACTTAAAATGAAGTCTATAATAATGTTTTATTAAAGTATTAAATTTTATACACTTAAAAGCTTTATATCACTTCATATATTTCATTATACCGTACACTCAGAATTGGCCATCTTTTTTCTTTCGAAATACTTATTTTTAGCTTGCAAATAAACTACATTACAAAATGGCAATAAAAATATAAGTTTTACTACAGAATCTTATGAAACGTATCTTTATATCTGGAAATCTTTAGGATTAATCAAATTATTAATATGGTAAAATACCATTCATTTCCAAGTCAACAAAAATTAATTGAGCAAAGAGGTTCAGGGTATAACAACAGACTTCAAAGATTCAAAGATGAACATGCGTGGTGCTTGCTCTCAGTGAGTTGTTAAAATACGTGAACTAAACCAAAGCAAATCCAAAAAATTTAATGTAATAGATTCAGATTTGTTCAAAGAGAAATGCTATGAGAAAATTAAAATGAGAATGAGATTACTTCAGGTTGAGAAAATAAAGTTATGAAGAATAGGACACATTTGTTGTTGAGCACTTGATGAATGGGAAAAATGAAATAAAAAAAAAAAACAGAGTTTCCTAAAAGTGTCGTGAAACTGCATATATTGTGCAGGGAAAGACAGACTTCCCAGTGTGAGGGAGGTTTGATGAAAGGAATAGTTGAGATAATGCTTCACAGATAGGAAATTAACAGATTTTAAAATGTCATCATTTTCATGAGGAATCCAAGCTCTTGTAAACTTCTGGGGACTGTTCTGAACTAGAAAATAGATTGAAGTCTGCTTTAGAAGATAATTTTTGTTATTGTATGTAGAATGGCTTTAGTTAGAATAAGTAAGTAATAGAGACTTTGAGGGCAAGAACATACCTTAATAACATATTCCAGAAGACCAGAACTGAGAGCATAAGAGCGTACACAGCACAGTAGTGGCGGAAATGAAAAGGAAGTTTTGGAGTCCTGGCAATTAAGATAAGTAGGCAACAACAAGGAAGGGTCCCAGGTTGGGGGTGACCCCAAGTGAGAAGAACAATGAACAATTGTTCTGAAAGATGACTAATCACAAACAACCCGTGGGCAAAATGACATCCTTCCATGCATGGCCCCAGCAGCAAGACCTCATTCTGCACGTAGCTGCCACCCACACAACCCTGTAAACTTCCTTCCAGCCGTTCTCTTTTTGTAGACATCCCCTTCTCTGCTGTGCTCCCCATTGCAGTCCTGCAATGCATTTTCATACCTTCTTTAATAAATATGTCTTTCTTTACCTACAACTGTCTTGGTAAATTCCATTACTGCCTATGACACTGGCCCCAGATAGTTGCTACCCATGACAGAAATCACAGACTTGAATAGCCTTTTTGGTGAATAAACAAAGTGGTCCAGAGTGTTGCACAGAGTATGTATGACTCCTCTCTTTTGAATTCATCCATACACTATCCATGCTCTTTCTTATGACCAACCAGTTCCCAGAGCCCTATGGCTCAGTGAGTTACTTTTTCAACTTGAAGACTCCAGTTGTGCTCTAAGGTTAATAGTAAAAAGTATCTGGTGGAATTTATATCATCATAAAAACACAGTATCATTCAAGTATTGTCAACTTTGCAACTTAGGTGATACTCAAAAGTAGAAAAATATACACCTCTCCCACAATTTACATTTTTAACACTGGTGATTTTGTATTCATGGTGTCTATTGTCTATGAACCACCAATGTCCAATTTATTCTAATATTCTCCAAAATCTAATTAACTTAGTTAAACATTACCTAAGCAATTGGATAACATAATATTTAAAACATAAAAAAAAAAACACTTTTTTTTTTCCTCAGACTCAAATGGCAATCCTAGACTGAAGTTTCAGACCATACCCTCAATAGAAGCAACATTAATCATTTTGGGATAGCAATGGCAGAAGCATAGATAGGACAAAATTACTGCAAATAATTCATGATGTTTTTACACAACACATAAGGAATTCTTGAGTGGCAGAGTCATGGGCTGCTATAGCCAGCAGGGATGTTTGATTATGTGTAATGTGACATATGAAGTATCACTAAATCAATGGCTTCAGCATGGCTGGGAGCTTTTTTTCAGGCTACACTCAGTCTAAATTTATTATTTTCCTGCCAACAGGTGAAGTTGACTATAAACTCATTGAACCGTGCCATTTCAGTACAGAGACGGGAACCAGTGTAAAGGACTGATTACACAGATGGAGAATATCAAGGTAGAAAAGCAATGGCAGTGGGTATTTTTTAAAGTGTAACTAAAAGACAGTTCGCTGTCTTACGCGCTATAATTTTTTAAAAAACTTTAATGAGGTTTTATTTAACAACAGAAACATGTAATAATATCAAATGTAGAAGAGAACATGTTTTGGAAAATATTATGGCCCCGTAACCCACATAAAACAGTAATAGGATAAAGTTATCACCCAGAACATTTTCTTGTGCTTTCTTTTTTAAAGCCATTTTCATAGATTAAAGAGTACAAATGCAGTTTTGTAACATGGATATATCATGTAGTGGTGAAGTCTGGGCTTTTAGTGTACCCATCACCCAAATATTTTACATTGCACCCAATAGATAGATTGTCCAAGTTTGATTATTTTCTGTTATAGATGGCAATAACTATATTGCTATCTATAATAGATAATGAAAGCGACTAAACATCATAGTATTTCCAAAATACTATCTCTGCAAAAGTATAGAACAAAGCATCTCTGCAAATGCAAGGAACAAAATATGTGCACTAATGAGAGTCACATAACAGATTTGCAAATAGGCATAATTTTAAGTTTATAAGGTATTCACAACTTGATAATTCTTATCTCTGCATACTGATACACACACACACACACACACACACACACACACACACACACACACACAGAGTGGTGCCTCTGTATTTGAGAGGTATTGGTTCCAGGACTCCACCAGATTACCAAAATCTGTACATAATCAAGCCCACTCTGAAGTCAGCCTTGCAGAACCCACTTATGGAAAAGTCAACCCTCTATATTTGCAGAATGAAAAGCCGACGAGTACTGTATTTTCTATCTGCCTTTGCTTGTGGAGGAGGAACCCCAGATACAGAGAGTGGCCTGTATTTGTTGGGAAAAAAAAAACACTTATAAGTGAACTCACACAGTTGAAACTCATGTTGTTCAAGGATCACATATATATGTGTGTGTGTGCGTATGTGTGTGTGTGCATATATATATATATATCCTTTTTTCTTTAGTTTTTCTTCATTGTTTTACAAACTTTCTGATTTCACAAAAATAAGTATAAATTATTTTGTAAAAAAAGATTTTTTTTTTGGTTTAATGGATATTTTTGTTTGTTTGTTTGTTTTATTTTAGTAAAAGGAAAAGAAGATGATTAAGGATCAAGGGAATGTAAAAGAGAGAGGGGGGGGGATACTCTAAAGGACCCAAAAAGAAGCAGTTCGTGAAATTATACTTGGCAAAATTTTATCCACTTCTGTGGTAATGAAAATTTGGGTATTAAAAACAGAATTGCAGCAAATATTATTGGCAGTTTTCTGGTTATATTATTGGTAAAGATGTTTAGTTTGTATATAATGTTTTCTTTAATGCGATTTAATTCAACTTCAACTAAAATATTCTGTCAGTTAAACAAAATTTAAGTGGAAGCAATATTTGTGTATTGTTATACCCAGCTATCTGAACAACAATATTTCCACATGACAATTAAAGTTTGGGGCCTTGTCTCCCCTGGGGTGAGTTTGTATTGACAGCATTTCTCTACACTTAAAAAAATAAAAAAAAGTTTAAGGGGAGTAAATGGAGTTTTGTTACATGGCAATATTGCCTAGTAGTGAAGTCTGGGTTTCCAGTGTATCCATCATGGGAATAATAAACATTGTACCCAAAAGGTAATTTTTCAAACTTTTCTCCTCCCACCCTCACAGGTTTTGGAGCCTCTCATGTATGTTATTCCACTCTGTATGTCCATCTGGACTCATTGTTTATGTTCTACTTATGAGAGAGAACATGTAGCATTTGACTTTTTGTTTCTGAATTATTTCACTAGAATAGTGGCCTCGAGCTCCATCCATAGTGCTGCAAAAGCTACGATTTTATTATTTTTTATTGCTTCATAGTATTCTCTCCATATATATATATATACATACACACACACATATATACATATATACATATACATATATGTATATATATATACACATATATCTAAGATATATATACATATATAAGAATATACATATATATCTAACTATATATGTATATATGTGTATATATACACATATATACATATATATGCACACATATACATATATATCTAAGAATATATGTATATGTGTATATGTGTGTGTATATATATTATATATACACATATATATGTATATGTGTGTATATATAATATATACACACATATATATGTATATGTGTGTATATATTATATATACACATACATATGTATATGTGTGTGTATATATTATATATACACATACATATGTATATGTGTGTGTATATATTATATATACACATACATATGTATATGTGTGTGTATATATTATATATACACATACATATGTATATGTGTGTATCTATATAATATATACACATACATATGTATATGTGTGTGTATCTATATAATATATACACATACATATGTATATGTGTGTGTATCTATATTATATATACACATACATATGTATATGTGTGTGTATCTATATTATATATACACATACATATGTATATGTGTGTGTATCTATATTATATATACACATACATATGTATATGTGTGTATCTATATTATATATACACATACATATGTATATGTGTGTATCTATATTATATATACACATACATATGTATATGTGTGTATCTATATTATATATACACATACATATGTATATGTGTGTATCTATATTATATATACACATACATATGTATATGTGTGTATCTATATTATATATACACATACATATGTATATGTGTGTATCTATATAATATATACACATACATATGTATATGTGTGTGTATCTATATAATATATACACATACATATGTATATGTGTGTGTATCTATATTATATATACACATACATATGTATATGTGTGTGTATCTATATTATATATACACATACATATGTATATGTGTGTGTATCTATATTATATATACACATACATATGTATATGTGTGTATCTATATTATATATACACATACATATGTATATGTGTGTATCTATATTATATATACACATACATATGTATATGTGTGTATCTATATTATATATACACATACATATGTATATGTGTGTATCTATATTATATATACACATACATATGTATATGTGTGTATCTATATTATATATACACATACATATGTATATGTGTGTATCTATATTATATATACACATACATATGTATATGTGTGTATCTATATTATATATACACATACATATGTATATGTGTGTATCTATATTATATATACACATACATATGTATATGTGTGTATCTATATTATATATACACATACATATGTATATGTGTGTATCTATATTATATATACACATACATATGTATATGTGTGTATCTATATTATATATACACATACATATGTATATGTGTGTATCTATATTATATATACACATACATATGTATATGTGTGTATCTATATTATATATACACATACATATGTATATGTGTGTATCTATATTATATATACACATACATATGTATATGTGTGTATCTATATTATATATACACATACATATGTATATGTGTGTATCTATATTATATATACACATACATATGTATATGTGTGTATCTATATTATATATACACATACATATGTATATGTGTGTATCTATATTATATATACACATATATATGTATATGTGTGTGTATATATATGTGTGTGTATATACATATCCCATTTTCTGTATCCAGTTATCCATCGATAGATATTTAGGTTGATTTCATGACTTTGCTATTATGAATAGTGCTGAGATAAACAAACAAGTGCAGGTGGCTTTTTTGTATATTGATTTCTTTTCCTTTGGGTGGATACCCAATAGTTGAATTGCTAGATTAAATGGTAGTTCTATTTTTAGTTCTTTGAGAAATCAAGAAATCTCCATACAGTTTTCCATAGAGGTGCTAATTTACATGCCCTTTTTCTGTCCAGAGAGATTGTTCTGTGTGATATTTGTAAGACTGGTCGTCAAGGCATCAGCCACTGTAAGGTATTCACCTATTTTATGCCAAATGCAAAGGCTGCCAAAACAAAACAAAACAAAAAAAAAACCTTTCTCATTTAGAATTCTTCCAGCTCCTCTGTAAAAGGGTGTTGTTGGGCAGCAACTATTTTCTGTGGCAGGACCAGAGCCATATTGAATGATTTAGTCTCTTTCATAGATGGCTGCAGTATCAGTGGGAATAGACAATAAACAGAATCAACTGAGTAAGTACTGAAATGTTCTCTATAATAGCATGCTAATAATAATTATGTAGCCTATAAAACTGACTTAATTTTCACAACATTCTGTGCTTGCTATGCAAATTCTTTGGGTAATTCTCAACTAGAATAAATTATTATCTTCCTAAAGCACCTTTTGCATTTCACCTATTTCTATTTTTATCAGGGTGTGCTGGATTTTAAGTCTTTCAAAATTATGATAGGATACATTATATATATTTTTGTATGCAAACTTACTGTACAATATCTGGATTTGAAAAATAGTATATCTATAGGTACTCTTGGCCAACTCTATCACAATGAAGAAAGATCTGCAGCAAAGAGCAAATATGGTCTATTTTATAGCCTATCATCTGGATGCCTGAACTATAAAGAACTCAAGGGAATAATTAAATTTCCATACCTTATGTGGACTGACCATTAACGACGATAATGCTATTCGTGGGCCAGTTAGAAAGACTTGGGCTTATGGCTCATTCTTTTGTAATTCTACGAGATTTAAATGAGTTCTAATTTGAAATTCATGAATTTAAAGTTTCATCTTGTATTAAATAGATGTAGTGGATATTATACACAATATTAATAAGAGCAGAAAGGATGAGGTTTAGTAGTAAATCAAACTAATAATACATGCTGGAACTTATATCATTATACATTGTACATTCCATTTTTATTTTTAGCAGTTTGTATTGCAAGTTAGAGACTATTTTATGTTAATTCTCGTATATTTATATATTGAGGATATAAATATACCAAGAAAGCCTTCAGAATATTTTTTGAACAACATTAACTCTTTGGAATTCTTTAGTCAGTTTTATTGCAGTGTGTGTTAAAAGGAAGTCTGTGGCTTGAAAATAAGAAACATGACTAGATAAACAAAATTAGGCAACTCAACTTGTAAACCAGAAATTCAAAAACAATGTATTATATAGAAAATTTTATTTATAGTCCTGTTTTCCAAAAGGGTCCTAACTAAAGTAGATCTGTTAAGAATCTGGGCGCAGTGCTTCTGGGCTCCCTAACCAGAACCCAATAAGTCACATTTATACTTCAACCTTAGTTAAACAGAGAATGGAAATACTATAGGTAATATTTATTCAGATACATTGGGAAGCAAACTTACCAAATAATACATAAAATGACAATGGAATTTTACTTAATATTTCATTCTTGCAGTTCATGTAATACACTTCTATGTATTATTTTATTGAATTTCTCTTATTTGTCATTCATGGTCTAGGCCTTACTGCTTATTTCAGTGAGACAATATGTTCTCAATTAATGCTTTTGACTTTAAAAATTGAATTCTAGAGTTAATATTTTGCTATAAATATACATAATTAGTTTCAGTAGCTTATATTAAATATGATACATATTTATCTTCTAAAACAATGTAAAAAATTAGTCATTTATAATTTAGAATAAATCTAAGAATAATCAAGTATTTCTCTGAAGAATATTGTCTAAAAAAGAATCAATATAATAAACAGTAATTTTTGATTAATAAGTGGAAAAATTTTATAAGCATCAAGTAAATAAAATGGTAAAATAAAACACTAAGATTAAAAAGATATATATTTTTATATCACAAATAATAAAAGTCCCCCAAAGCATAATTATATAAAACTAAAGGCAAAAAAATCAAAGCATAATCTTACTTTTCAAAATGTGTTTTTATCATCACGAACATAAAAGTGATTGAATTATATGTTAACTATTTACTAACATCCTCAGGTAAATGCATTGAGCAGCCTGAAGAATTTTTCATGTTATTTATCCATGCTTATTCTTTAACATATGACTTCCTCTGGTGCTGTTTACGTTTTCTTTATCTGTTTGCTCATTTGTACTCTTTTCCATTTATTCGGGAAATGCAAGTGGCTGATGAAATCATAAAACATTGTTCACCCAATGTAACTAAAGAATAAAAGAGCTCACTGCAAATGTGAGCAGAATTATTGTTTTCTACAAGATTCATAAATGTAAATAGTTGAAAAGGAAATTGAAACTGTAGCTGCTAAGTGAAGCATGTTCTTGGAGGTTTCTTTTTGTAATGCTATTCTAAAGTATCTTTATATCAATCAAGATACAAGTCCTGTTGAAATACATTAGATATTATACTTCATGTAAAACATTATTTTTGTGTGTGTGGTAATAATCTTTGTTCCTTAAGGAGAATTCTAAAATAGATTTATACAATAAAAGCATTGTCCCACTTGAAAACACTACTGGATTCAAGGTGTTTCTGAAGGTACCTTCAACAATTCTAAAATTTATAGGAAAGCAAGGGAAATGTCAGTAGAGTTAGAAGATGAGGAAACTAGTAAGAGTTCATGGGAGCACTAATGATTGCACTTATAGAAATTCAGTGCATCAGCAATCAAGAACATTGATTGCCAACCATTTGAAGCTGCCTCATGTTGAACAAATATCCTTCCTTATAATAGGAAATATAATACATATTCATATTAATGATTTGATGATTAATAAGAATGTTTGTAAAACAATTTTGACTAGCATTTTACTCTCCAATATTTTGATAAAACTGAAGACTTTATTCTAATCAATATGATGAGAGTAAAATTGGTTCCACAGATTACAACTGCAAATTTAATTAATTGTCTAATAATTGGATAGCCTAATAAATAACTAATTATCTAATATTTGGATAGATAGATAAAAGATATGGCAATCTAATTCAATAATGAAACTAACCAAATAGATTGACAATGCAAAGATGTCTTTTTGCTACTTCACAGCCTATGAGAATTTATGTGTTAGAATGTAGCAGGGAAGATCACTATTGGAAACAAACCTAAGGATAAGGGATCCAGTTTTACTTCACTTTGTCACTAATCTGTGCAAGGTATTGCTCATTTTGAATATGCATCTAGAACATCATATTAACACTGGGTGCACATAGAGGATTTTCACATTGGAAACTCCCTTCCCTCTTATTGCAGAAAAATGCTAAGTATAAAACTTTTGTTTTAACTTCTTTTTCCCAACTCCTAACGCAATTAACTTCAAAGAGGGAAATTTTACATAAAACCTCTTTAGTGTCTTTGTATTTCAATTTTAGATTCATCTGTGGGTATTTGCTAAAACGGTATAACAATAAATGCTAGTCGGCCCTATATGAGAGGCAGAATTAAAAGGTGTCTTACAGTCTCTGATGATTAAATTAAAGCCTTTGATTAGGGACAAATGTGCTAGTTGGTTTAAAAGCCCTGGTAAAGTTGAGTTTATACATTTGAAATTAACATTTGTCTTGAATCCTGTTGATCTTCCAACCTTGTTTTTGCTAAATATGGGTCTATCTTCAAGTTAATGCATAATTTTATACTCTGTGGGCTTAAATTGAATTCCAAATAGCTTCAAAAGCTAAAATTAATTGCAAAAATGAAAAGAAGACACACATCAAAGCTTCATTTTTAAAGTTGGTATCTACATAGCATTTTATACCCATTTAAAACTGTTAGCTTATCCCTTATTTAGTCTCCCTAAACAATTAAAAACTTGATATACTGCAAATGTGCATTTTGTGAGAGAAAATGGTATGAGCTACTAAATCTCCCTACCTTGAATACTGTAAAATATAAATGTGTTCTATATTTTATTATATTCACTTTTTACTCTTAAAGTTTACAGAGAATTCATTCTTAAGAAATACAAAATAAATATCTGGATGTTTTAAATCATGGCCCTTTTTAAACATCCAGAACAAGAAAAAAAATAGCCAAACCAAAGATATGTAATGTTGTATTGGTTGAATTACATATGAGATTTCATAATTAAAATAGCCAAACCAAAGATATGTAATGTTGTATTGGTTGAATTACATATGAGATTTCATAATTTAAATATCCTTAGACATTACAATTTTTTTCATGAATACATTATAAGAACAGATGCTTATGAGTAGAATTGATTCTCTTATTAACCCTAGGGACAATAATAATCTATATTTATAGAGGAAGATTATACTTTTCCTTACCTTCCTCATAGGGTATAGGTGTTTTTCTTAAACAAGTAATTATATCTATCTTGATAAAAATATCCAGTAAGCTTAGTAAAGGATCTAGATATTTGGCTAAATGATTTCAAGAATTCATATATAGGTAAATAGCTAGTTGTAAATTCAAATATAGAATTGAATATTGTGAAGAAGTGATTTTAGGTTCACATTATTTATGGAAGTGTTTACTGCTTCTTTTCTGTGTGAGGCCCAGTTATATAGAAATGTAAACCAGCAGAAAACACTGAATCCTATTAAACATTCAAAGCGAAATTGGTACTAATACTATTGACACTATTTCACATTATAGAAAAAGAGGGAATCCTCCTTAAATCACTCTCTGAAGCTAGTATCACCCCAATACCAAAATCAGGAAAAAACATAACAAAAAAAGAAAACTACAGACTGATATCCCTTATGAACAAAATGCAAAAATCCTCAATAAAATAATAGTGAACCAAATCCAACAGCATATCAAAAACATAGTCAACCAGGATCAAATGGGTTGCATACCAGGGATATAGGGATGGTTTAACATATGTAAGTCAATAAATGTGATAAAATGCATAAACAAAATGAAAAACAGAAATCACAGATCATCTCAATAGATGCAGAAAAAACATTTGACAAAATCCATCATCCCTTTATGATTAAAACCCTCAGCAAAATTGGCATAGAAGGAACATAACTTAAAGTAATAAAATCCATCTATGACAAACTCACAGATGAAATCATACTGAACAGGGAAAAGTTGAAAACATTCCCCCTGAGATCTGGAACAAGACAAGGATGCCCACTTTCACCACTTTTATTCAACATACTACTGGAAGTCCTAGCCAGAGTAATCAGACAAGAGAAAGAAATAAAGAGTATCTAAATCAGTAAAGAGGAAGCCATGCCATTGCTGTTTGCTGATGATATGATTTTATATCTAGAAAACCCTACAAACTCACCCAAAAAGCTCCTAAAACTGTTAAATGAATTCAGCAAAGTTCCAGGATACAAAATTAATGTACACAAACTAGTAGCTCTCCTATATAACAACAGTGACCAAGCTGAGAATCAAATCAAGAACTCAACCTCTTGCACAATAGCAGCCAAAAAATTAAATACTTAGAATTATACCTAACCAAGAATGTGATAGACCTCTGTAAGAAAAACTACAATACACTGCTGAAAGAAATCATAGACAACACAAATAAATGGAAACGCATGCCATGCTCACGGATGGGTAGAATCAATATTGTGAAAATGACCATATAGCCAAAACAATCTATAAATTGAATGCAATTCCCATCAAAATACCAACATCATTATTTACAGCACTAGAAAAAAAATCATAAAATTCATATGGAACCGAGAAAGAATCCACATAGCCAAAGCAAGAATAAGCAAAATGCAGCAAATCTGAAGGCATCACATTACCCAATTACCTGACTTCAAACTATACTAAAAGTCCATAGTCACCAAAACAGCATGGTACTGGTATCAAAATAGGCCCATAGACCAATGGAACAGAATAGGGAACCTAGAAATGAAGCCAAACACTTAACAGCCAATTAATTTTTGACAAAGTAAACAAAAACATAAAGTAGGGGAAATATACCCTATTCAGCAAATTGGGCTGGGATAATTGGCAAGCCACATGTAGAAGAATGAAACTGGATCCTCATCTCTTACCCTATATAAAAAATCAACTCGAGATAGATCAAAGACTTAAATCTAATATCTGAAACCATAAAGATTCTAGAAGATAAAATTAGAAAAAAATCCTTCTAGACATTGGCTAAGCAAAGGCTTCATGATCAAAAACCCAAAGCAAATGCAACACAAACAAAGATAAATAGATGGGACTTGGTTAAACTAAAAAGCTTCTGCCTGGCAACATAAATAATCGGTAGAGTTAACAGACCATCCACAGAGATGGAGAAAATCTTCACAATCTGTAATCTGACAAAGAACTAATATCCAGAATCTACAAAGAACTCAAACAAATCAACAAGAAAAAAAACAAGCAATCCCATCAAAAAGTGGGCTAAGGACATGAATAGACAAACTCTCAATGGAAGATATACAAATGGACAAGCACGTGGAAAAATGCTGAACATCATGAATTTTCAGGAAATGCAAATTAAAACCACAATTTGATACCACTTAATTCCTGCAACAATGGCTAATATGGTTTGGCTGTGTCCCCACCCCAATCTCATCTTGAATTTGCATGAGCTGTGGTAGGGACCCGGTGGTGGGTAATTGAATCATGGGGGCAAGTCTTGCCCTTGCTGCTCTCATGATAGTGAATAAGTCTCACCAAATCTGATGGTTTTAAAATTGGGAGTTTTTCTGCACAAGCTCTCTTTTTGCCTGCTGCCATCCACCTAAGATGTGACTTGCTCCTCCTTGCCTTCCACTACTATTATGAGGCTTCCCCAGCCACGCAGAACTGTGAGTTCTCCATTAACTGTGAGTTCTATCCTCTTTCCTTTGTAAGTTGCCCAGTCTCAGGTATGACTTTATCAGCAGTGTGAAAATGGACTAATGCAATGGCTATAATTGAAAAATCAAAAAATAATAGATGCTGCCATGAATGCAGTGAAAAGGAAACAATTCTACACTGCTGGTGGAAATGTTATCTAGTACAACCACTATGACAAATAGTGTGGAAATTCCTTAAAGAACTGAAAGCAGATCTACCATTTGATCCAGCAATCCTGCTACTAGGCATCTACCCATAGGAAAAGAAGTCATTATATAAAAAACATACTTGCACAAGCATGTTTATAGTAACACAATTTGCAATTGCAAAAATATGGAACCAGCCCAAATGCCCATCAATCAACAAGTGGATAATGAAAATGTGGTATATATATATATATATACACAAAGGAATACTACTCAGGCATAAAAAGGAACAAAATAATGGCATTTGCAGCAACCTGGATGAAAATTATTCTAAATAAAGTAACTCAGGAATGGAAAGCAAACATGGTTTGTTCTCACTCATATGTGGGAGGTAAGCTGTGAGGACACATAGGCATAACAATGGTACATTGGACTTTGGGGACTCAGGGAAAAGGGTGGGGATGGTGAGGGACAAAAGAGTTCACTTTGAATACAGTGTAAGCTGCTTGGGTAATGGTTGCACCAAAATCTCAGAAATCACCACTGAAAAACTTATTCATGTAACCAAACACCACCTGTTCCCCATAAACCTATTAAAATAAAAAAATTTAAAAAATTTAAAAAGAATACATAGAGGAAGATAAAGCCTCTGAAACACAGCCTACTTTTCAACAAACATTAATAAGAATTCAAAGAAAAGACTTGCTTACTTCAATTCCTTTACCAAATTACATATCCAGTTTTCATGTTCCTATCACAAACAAATGATAAATGTCTGAGGTTAAAGATATACCAATTATCCCATCAATCATTACACATTGTATGCATGTATCAAAATATTACATATACTTCATAAATATGTACAACCATTATGTATCAAAAGTTTCTTTAAAATATTGCAAAGCATGCCAACAAGTAAGAAAAATGACTTTTTTAAAGATAAAGTAAGCATTAGAACTATACTCGGATAAGATATAGATTTTAAAATTATCAAATAGAAAATGTAAAATAACTATGAATAATGTATTAAAGATTCTTAAGGAAGAAATAGATAACATACAAGAACAGATTGGTAATGAAGGCAAAGAGAAAGAAATTCTGAGAAAGAATCAAAAGGAAATCTAAAACAGTGTTATCAGAATTGAAGAATGCCTTTGATGAGCTCATCAGTTTACTGTAAGCTCATCTTTCCTTACAGCTAAGGAAAGAATCAGTGAGATTGAAAGTATAGCAAGAAAAACTTTACACACAGAAATGCAAAGTAAAACAGAATTAAAAAACCACTTAATATCCAATAAATATAGGCCAATTAAATACAGCATAACATACGTATAATCAGAATATCAGAAAAAGAATAGTGTGAAAAGAGCAGAAGAAATATTTGAAGCAATAATGGATGAGAATTTCCCAAAAGTAATTACAGATGCCAAACTTAATGGTGAAAAATTTGATGCTTTCTTTTTAAGTTCAAGGCAAAGATGTCTCTTCTCACCACTCCCGTTTAACATCATACTGGAAGTCTTAGCTAATGCAATGAGAAAGTGTAATAAATGGTATACACGTTTTTAAAAGGTATACACATTGAAAAGGAAGAAATAAAATTTTATTTAATATATTACATGATTGTCTATGTAAAAAATCCCAATGAATCAACCAAAAATCTTGTGAAAAATCTACATTGTATGATTCCAACAGGCAGTGCAATGCAGTTTCTGGAAGGATTTGCACACAAGAACTCAGCCCCAACACTCCTTTCTGACCCAGCCATGCTTATGTGCCCACCTGTATTTCTAAGCTAGGCACCTTTCATTCCAAGGCCTTCTCTTCATGAGCCTTGAAGACACTTTCTTTACCTGATTCAGTACTTTTATCTTCTTAGTTGTACCCTTCCCCCACATTTTCCCATCACTGCCTCCATAAAATGGCAGAAACTATTGAGCTCTCACCATAACATAGCAGAAACTGTTGGGCTCCCTCAACAGTGAGAAAATTCCTACTCCCTGCACGAGCTTCTTGGACCTATCTTACCCTTGATCTGTGCCATTGCATGGGGAAAATGGAACATTGGAAGAGTTGTCACCACTTTTTTTTTTTTTTTGGTCCCTTGTTTACACTATTACAGCAAGTGAATAAAGACTTCACAGTTACTTTCAGTTGACTTGACCTAATAAATGACCTTCACACATGGCAGCAATCTAACAGATTTGCAGAGTGAGCAGGGTGGGTAAATTCAGCACAATAATTTTCTGGAGAAGCAAAAAACCTGAAGATGCCACAGGACACTTTTGAGAGGTGCTACCTGAATTCAAGGAGCATTCTCTGAGAGGTGTTAGAGAATCATTTTCAAGAGGCTGAGGGCCCCACAATGCACTTCATTAACCCTGCTAATGGGCCTTGAGAAGTGCTAGTGAACATAATGGGGCACACTTGGAGAATGTTAAGAGACAGTTTACATAGCTGCTCAGTTTTTATGAGGACCATTGATCCTTCTCTTTAGCCCATGACTCCTCAGCTGAGCTTATCTATTGTGTCAAATTAGACATCAAACAAGTCCTAAGAAAGCTAGGGAAGCAACATTATACCTACTGGTTATGGTTCCAGCAACAAAACCCAAAATTGTTAAAGACCTTGTAAGTTGAGTTGCCCCCAATGACTACTGTTGGCTTTTTGCAGGTCCCTCATACTAATGGCAGCCTGTGACACAGAAAGTCACTGAGACTTGTGTCTTTAATGAGATGAATATGGCACCTTTTGAAATTGCTTTGCCCAAGAGTCAGGAGATACCCTAGAGACTTGGTTATTTTATCTTCACAATGAATTATCCTCACAATCCTTGACACCAGGATAAAGAGGAAACAAAAATTGCTCTAGTTTTGGGTCTGAGGGTGCCACAACCAATACCCTTACCCATGCCTGGCAATGAGTGTTTCCCTTCAGGCTTCTACAAACCTTCATTGGTATGGCCTCTTCTACTGAATCTATTATTGATATAAATCTATTATCCACCTTCACTCCTATTCACCTTCACCCTCAATCTCTCATGGAAATTGCTACAGTTAAAGAATGTTAAGGACTGTGAACTTACCCAACTATTGACTCCACCACAAAGGAAGACCAAAACCACAAATAGATAGCCACACATCACATAAAATATCTAGGGGAGAACACTCAAATTCAGCAAAGAATTGATGGAGACCCTCTGAGGCACACAGACTCTGGATTACAGCATAGAGAGGGAAACAAAGGACCTGGCTAAGATCGGCTCTGAATTAAGAGGGACTCCACATTGTGGGAAACAGGTAGGCTGGAGATCTTCAGCAGTTCACATTCCTACCACAGAAGCCTACCATTCTTGCTACAGGAGAGTAGCTATAGACAACTGTATGCCCCAAAATTGGAAAACAAAAGAAATGGACAAATTACTGGACACATACAACCTACCAAAATTAAACCAAGAAAAAATTTAAAAAACCCAAACAGACCAATAACCAGTAACAAGATTTAATTAGTAATAAAAAGAACAACATCATAAAAACCCAGGACTGAATGGCGTTAGTGCTGAATTCTACCAGACTTTAAAGAAGACTATTCCAAAATATTGGAAGTGAGAGAATTCTTACTAACTTATTATATGAGGCCAGAATTACCCAGATGCCAAAACCAGATGAGGACATAACTAAAAAAAACACAAAAAACTACAAATCAATATCCCTGATAAACACAGGTGCAAAAATTCCCAAAAAACACTAGCAAACTGAATTCAATGGCAGTTCCACTCCTAGACATCAGATTAAGTCAAGACAAAATATGTGCAAAATTATTTCTACAATAAATATATTTAGAGTTGATTTACCTGTGATAGACAAGAACAGAAAATAACCCACATTCCCATCAATAGATTAATGGATAGTCAAATAAAGATATAGTGATCTAAATCAGATTGTTAGCTGCCTGGAGGTTAGTGGTTAATAAGACTGTGAGAAAAAAACTTCCCAGGGTTTCTTCATAAAATGCTTGCTATGTTTTAGATACTAGTTACATGTGTTACTAGTTTCTGAAAATCTTTGAATGATAGGCTTAAAATATATGCCTTTTCTGCATGAGAATTATATGTTAATAAAGCTTATTTAGAATAAAATAAATAAAGCAGTAAAACAAAGGAGACTGAATATAAAAAAGCTAAAAATAGACAATACAAAGGGATTAAAACACAGTAAGTCTACAGAACACAAGAGAGAAATTTACCATTTTAATTTTAAATCTATTAACATAAATCTTAATTAAAACTTCATTAAACATTTATTTTTATTTCTTTTTGGTGCCAGGGCTCTTCTTAGAGTATATCCTTTTAAATTATAGTTTTTAATCTCTGTCATTTCCAAGTTGTGTACATCTTTATAAAATGGAAGTTATCTCCAGAGGCTTTATAATTCAGTGCTGTGCTTTCAGGTAGGACTACGAACTCAGCCACTACGACAGATGGTTGTCTGCCTTATTCTTACTGATGTTCAGAGAAAAAATATATATACATTCCCTTGGTAGTGAATTTTTTGTGTTTGAACAACCCTTAATGTCAATAAGTTGTTTCTTACATCTAGCCTGAATCTCCCTTTCTCAAACATAAGTTTCACGTGCTTTTGTTTTATTCTCAGTGGAACAAGAGAACAGATGGTCAGTATCTTCCTTTGAAACACTGTTCATACACTAGAAGACAGTTGCTAACAAGACCCTTTATTTGATCTTAAATTTAATTATTTCAATTCACATAATGGAAGTGATGGAAGTTATCTCAAGTTCATCTAAGTCTAATACTCAAAGTGTATGGCATAGAATTTCATCTTGTAAGGTTTTCTATTAGTATAAAGTTTTGTTAGCAAATAAGTTAACAATGTCTGATAACTTATACCTTTCTTGGAGATTCAAAAAGTCATTTCTATGTTAATAGCTCACAGAAAATAAATAACAAAGTAAGTTCGTTTCAGTTTGCCTGCCCCAATATTTTCAAATGTTCTCTTCTATAACCTTCTCTTTCACTGCAACTCACTAATTAATACTTACTAATACAGAACATTATTTGCATAATGACATTCTGAATTTTATATTATACTGCTTCAAATGCTGAGAAAGCTAAAGTATCTCAAAGCAATGATAATTACATAGTTATTTAAATATTTAAAAACCTATATATCTGAGAGATATCCTGCTTTATATATTTAAACATCCTGTTAAGAACAGCCAGAAAATAATAACAAATATGTAAAAAATAATACATGTAAATTCTTCAGAAAACTACATTCACAAAGAGAACACAATATCTTGAACATAATAAAAAATAACAAGGCACAAAGAAAAACAATGTTTCCAAAAAGCAATAACCAAAATAGACAATGCAAAGAAAGATACTCACAGGAAATAAATATAACTTTAATTGTAAAAAAAATCTAATTTCAATGCAATTTAAATATTTCAGAAATTATATTTCTCTTAAAGAAAATTGGGGTAAATAAATGGCCACTTAAAATAATTCCAATATAAATTACAAAACTGAAAAATCTAAAATTAAGAGCTTTATGAGTGGTTTTAATAGTAGATTAAACCCAACTAGGGAGAAAGTTAGTAAACTGTATGAGAAGTCAAAGGAAAATATCTCCACTGAAGTTTGGAAAGAAGAAATGATGAAATATTTGGATAAAGAACTAAGAAATATAAAATGTTTAAAATGTCTAATATTAATGCAATTAGAGTTCCCAAAGGAGAAGACGGAATGTAGGCAGGAGTAAATTTGAAAAAATAACAAATAAGAACATTTTAAAATGAATAAAATATATAGACAAGTATTTAAAGAACCACTATAAAATTTAGGAGCATTAAAACACACACACACACACACACACACACACACAAAGTTATATCATACTTTTTAAACTCAAATAAAGATAGGAATTTTTAAAGCAGCCACAGCAAAAAGGAGTCATTATGTGCAAAGAAATAAAAATTAAAATAGCAGCTAACTTGTCAATGGGAGAAATGGAAGCCAACAAAAAATGCCATATCATATGAAAATCTTCTAAGGAAGTAACTGCAAATATAGAATCAATATCCAGTTACAATGTATTTCAAAAAAGGAGACCTTTCTAGAAAAAAATTAAACAGTGAGAATGTATTCAACAGTAGTTATAAGCAATTCTTCAAACTAAAGAAATGATTCCATTTAGAAGGCTTATGATCCGGGAAGAAATTATAAGAAAAGGTAAAATGAGGAGAGTGGTAAACATGGTAGAATATCTTACTGATAACTGACTGTATACAAAGATGCCATATTGAGAGGCCAAATTATATATGAAATTAATACATAAAATAGCAACATATACTGGCAATATGTTAATTAATCTATGCATTGTTCATAAAGTGAAGTGCCATTTTATATAATATTTTAATAAATCAGCAAAGCCTATTGAAATCTCTCAGGTAAACACATATAAGAGTAAAATAATATTTAATTAACAAGTTAATGGTGAGGAATATAAAATAACATTTAAAAATAATACAAGAAAGCTGGAGAAAAGAAAAAATAGAGAATATATCTGTATATATTAAATATGTGATGTGTGCATATGCACAAAATACATTATATATGCATAGGTATGGGGTATATAGAGATATATTTATATAGACTAAATAGTGTAATAGAAATATAAAAATCAAGGATTAATTTAAAATAACTATATATTTCAATGAACAAATTAAATAGGTGGATACGCAGAATTTAAAATGAAGAGATTGGATTAGAAACACTAATAAAAAGAAAACTTGCATTTTATATTGTTAATATACTGTTGAAGCCATACAAATTATTTTGGATTAATAGGGTTATGGTCTGATAAAAATGTGAGTTAAATAGGAGAGAAAATAATTTGAAATCTGTATGCAACTAATAACATAGCTTCTAACTATAAAAAGCAAAATTTAATGAACTTAAAGGAGAAATAGAAAAATCCAGAAATTTGCCAGAAATGATCACCTCTTTCAGTAAATAATATAAAAAGCATACAATAAAGTTTAGTAATTATATGACAAACATTAGGGAAAAATAAATTAAATTCTTGTATGTTTATTTTCAAGGGCACACAGAGTATTTTCTATAATAATCAATTTCTGGGACCCAAAGGAAGTATTAAACATTAAAATTAATTTAAATCATTTATTGCATATTTTATGGGCTAATATTTAAAAACAAGAAAGCTAAAAATATTCCTCTATACTTTGAAATGACATAATGCATTTCTCAATAACCTTTGAGTCAAAAGAGAAATAAAGCAAATGAGAAAATATTTGAACTTAATAAAAATAGTACAAAGTAAACATTTTAAACGATGACAACACTGTACTTAGAAAGTATTTATAACATTAATTGCATGTATTAGAGAATAGTAGAAATTCCATCATTTAAGCATCTGTTCCAAAAAGTTATGAAAAAAACACAAACCACTCCAATAAAGTAAAGGAAAGAGTAACTGGGCAGAAAAAAAATAATAATACAGAAGTAAAAAAGACAGTAAACATATTCAATAAAGCATAGCAATGATTATTTGAAAAGACTAAAACTATTAATTAAATCCCTCATGAGATTTAATAGAAATACAAAATGATATTAAAACAATCCAAATATTATTAAAAACTACTAAATATATTTTGCATGTTTTTCCTAGCAAGTACGAAAATGTAAATAAAATAGACCTATTCCAAAAATAGCTAAACGTTTAACATTAGCACAAAAACTATAAGCTGAATAATTTTTGTTACAGTAAATAAATTGACTTTCATATTAATAGACTTTGCACAGGAAAAACTCATAGAAACCTAGAAGGCCCATTTATGAATTTCATCAATACTTAAGGAAAAAACAACAGCAATATTCTACAAAATGTTTCCAAATAACAGAAAAATATTGAACACTTTTCAGCTTTATGTTTAAGACCTGCGCTACCTTGAAAACAAAATCTATTGAGAACACTGGGAAATTTTAAACTTACCCAATCTCTTTTTTTTTTTTTTTTAGATAGAGTCTCACTCTGTCGCCCAGGCTGGAGTGCAGTGGCACAATCTTGGCTCACTGCAACCTCTGCCTCCTGAGTTCAAGCAATTCTCCTGCCTCAGCCTCCCGAGTAGCTGGGATTACAAGTATGTGCCACCATAACCAGCTAATTTTTGTATTTTTAGTAGAGATGGGGTTTCACTATGTTGGCCATGCTGGTCTCAAACTACTGATCACACCTGATTTGCCCGCCTTGGCCTCTCAAAGTGCTGGGATTACAGGCGTGGGCCACTGCACCTGGCCCCAACCTCATTTTTTAAACATAGATTCAAATAATTCAAAATGAAGAATTAGCAAGCAATATTAAATACCAATGAGACCAACAGAATAATGAGAACAATAATATGTTTATGTCAACTAATGTAAAAAAAGTAATAAAATTCAAAGACTAAAATGAAAAAGAAAAACAAAGAATAAGAAAAAGACAGTCCAAGAATAGAAGCCAGCTTCATTAAATCAGCTCAGCCATCATCACACTTAATGTGTGATTTTGAATGAATGCATGCTATTGTATTTATAACATGATTCTAAATATCTTAGGCAAGTACAGCAAGAAAAATATACACATGAAGTAGATGAAAAACTCATTGTTTACAAAATCCTTGGTTATGTATATAGAATATTTTAAAATACAGATCACTTATGACATTTTTAATCATCCTAATTTTAGTATTTGTCCCTTTTTAATGGGGTGTTAGTTTTTTCTTAGAAATCTGAAATACTTGAACTGCATATTCTATTTCATAAGCATTATAAGATTTATATTTTCATTTCCCATCTGATGAACAATTTTTTTTTTTTTGAGGCAAGGTCTCACTCTCTTGCCCAGGCTGCAGCACAGTGGCATGATATCGGCTCACTGCAGCCTTGACCTCCCCAGGCTCAGGTGATCTTCTCACCTCAGCCTCCCAAGTAGCTAGGACCACAGGGATGTGCCACCATGCCAGGCTAATTTTTATATTTCTTGTAGAGTGGGGGTTCACTATGTTGCCCAGTTTGTTCTCAAACTCCTGGGCTCAAGCAATTTGGCCAGCTCAGCCTTCCAAATTGCTAGGATTACAGGCGTGAGCTACTGTGCCCAGCCTGAGCAATTATTTTTTTAAGCAAAGTTTCCTGTAAAAAATGAAGTTGAGATAAATGTTCTATATATAAGCAACATTTTTCTAGTTCTAGATATATATATATATATATATATATATATATATATATATCCTCTCTCACTCTTGCCATATACTTGTGTGTGTATACACACATACATATATAAAATTGCTTCTTTTCTCATATATAAATATTTACATATATGCATCACTTTGTTTTATATGCCCAAATTGCCTTCTAAAAGCAATTAAATAACTTACACTTTTATCAATAAGCATCCCCATATCTTTGCCAGCACTTGATATTGTTAGACCTTTCAAATTGTTCCCTCTTTCAGTGGGTTGAAAATGTCAAATCTTGATGGTTTTGTGCTGTATTTCTAATTCCTATCTATCTTAATTTGATATTGTAGAAGTATATTGACAATTCAGGTTTACTTTTCTGTAATTTCCTTTTTATTTTTATTGGCTATTATATTACTCAGGGCTCCAACAGGAAACAGACAGTAAACTTAAATGAGGTAACTAAGAAGAACTTACAAAAGGGACACTTTATACAGATATGGGCCATGTTAAGGCAAACCAAGTGTTGAAGCACCCTGGGACTAAAATCCTCAAGGAGCTATTAATACCAGCAGACCTGAAGAAGAAAGTAATGCCTAGGACATGAAATACAGAGCCATTGTAGATAGCTACCTTACAGAAACTGTAACTTTTGTATAGGAATGCAGTTAATACAGGGTGTGGAAAGAGGTAGGTAGCCAGGAAAATAAATGCCTTGCCTTCCTCTTTTCACATCTTCTGATCACCTACTGATTTGCTCTCAATGGCCAAGCCCAAACATGAATGTAGAAGGCAAGGGGGACCTTGATGCAGTCTACAAAGTACAGTCTTCCAGGTTATGGAGAATGCTAGAAAAGTACGGAAAATGGACAGAAAAAAGCAAATGAAAAATATTCTGTCATCTCTTGGTTTTTATCTTTTTTTTGTTTGGTCTTTCTTTTTCTTAATTAAAAAATAATTGGCCAGGCATGGGTGGCTCATGTCTGTAATCCCAGCATTTTAGGAGGCTGAGGTGGGCAGATTGCTTGAGCCCAGGAGCTCAAGACCAGCCCGGGCCACATGAAGAAACCCCATCTCTACAAAAAATACAAAAATAGCATGGCCTGGTGGCACGTGCCTGTAGTCCCAGCTACTCCAGGGGCTGAAGTGACAGGATCACTTGAGCCCAGTAGGCAGAGGTTGCAGTGAGTCAAGATCACGCCACTGCCATTCAGCCTGGGTGACAGAGTAATATCTTGTCTCAAAAAAAAAAAAAGCATAGAAACATCTTGTGTGATATATTTCAAATGTCTCCTCTCATTCTGCATTGTTATCTCATTTTGAATGGAGCCAAATTATTATTAACTACATTTTAAATTTCATGTATGCAGGGAACTTTGTATTATTAACTGTTATAGTCTTAGAATCTGGAAAAATTCCTGGCATATGAAACTTGCATCAATAATTGTTGAATAAATTCATAAATGAATAGTTTTCTTTAGACTTTCTGTTGTTGATGTGTTATTTTCTGATTTTTTCCCCATGATGAATCACTGAGATATTTTTCCTGTATTTTCATACAAAAATTTAAAATTTTTCTTATTTATGTGTAAATACATCTGAAATTTTTTATGATATGATATGGTGTAGGAATCTAATTGTGTATATATGTATTTATATATGCTATCTATGGGTGTGTATACATATGTATTTATATGTGATAGATGAATAGATATTCACCATACATCACAATTTACTGATTTGTAATTCATTTTCTATCATATATATGTATATAATATGTGACATATGGCAAATTACTGTATGTATTTATGTATCTATATCTGGCCTCTTCTTTCTCTCACTGATTTATAGAGTATCCCTTTGTCAAAAATATATTCTCAGTTCTATAATAAGTTTCTCTCCCTGGTTAGATATGTTCTATTTTTGCTTTTTTTAAAATTGCCTAACTCTTTTTAGAAATTAAAAAATTGAATCCTTTTTCAATTTCTAAAAAAGCTATTGTTCATTTGTTAATGAGATTGGCACTGGAGTCATATATTAACTATAAGAAAATGGCCATCTTTACATTTTTTATTTCCCCTAATGATAGATGTTCTTTTGTTTTTAATAATACTTTGTTAAGTTTTATATAATGGTCTTGCACAAATTGGATTATATTTATTCTTAGGAACCTACAAAATGTCTTTTACTAGACATTATACTTTATACTGAAATTCACAAGCCTCTCAACTAACATCAGAAACAATATGAGTATGTACATTGCTATTTATGCTATTCAATATTATATTGAATGTCTTAGTCACTGAAGTTAGGCAACAGACAGACTTAAGTGTCGTATAGATTTAAAAGGAGATTCAAAATTGTGGTTGTTTCTAGGTAATGCAAATATATAGAAACTTCAACATAATTTGTAAATCACTTTAACAAAATTGCTGAATACCGATGTATAGTAACAATTAATAATGTGCCATTATAGCAATGACAACCAATTACCTCCAATGTGCTTTTTAATTTTGGTATTACTTTTTGGGGGGCTGGAAGGTGTTTACAATCACTTTTAATGCAATCTTTGCTCCATTACATAAATACTATTTGGTCAGCTCGAATGTGTCAGGTAACATAGTAGATCTATTTCTGTTAAATGTCATTCTCTTATTGGTTTATATTTGTGCTTTTAATCTCAATTTTTCTATTTATAACTTTTTAACTTTTGTATAGAAGCATGTCATACTATTATAAAACATATTGAATTTACTGTAGTGCATAGACCTATTTTTTACTCTGACCCTTCAAGGAAATCTTTTCATTTGCTTGTTGTTTTACTTTCTCAATATTATTTGTGAGTGGTTTATTTTCACCCTTAGTCATCATAAAACAAGGACATTTCAACCTTGAGAAATTGCTTATCATCATATAGGATGTCTGTGTTGCCAAGGTCTTATCTCTTATCCACATTTGTGCTAGATTAATAATCATTTGAGATGCTCACACAAAAGCAGGCTGATGTGTATAACTTTTCTTTCTTAACATCTAGCAAACATCTCGTTTATGTAGCTTCTTCATTGTGAGACAAAGTTTAATCCTAGTTGCTCTCTCTGTCTCAATGAAAAACACATCATACACATAAAAAGTATATATAAATCATTTTGGTTTTCTTGAATTACTTTAAATTTTTGAAAATCACAATAAATCCAATTTGTAATGTAGCCTTTCCTGTGTCCTCATTTGACTTGTTTTACCCTAGGAATTTAGTTATTACATCTTGAAAGTTTTGGGGACAATTTTTTTTTTAGAGTTTAAAGTTAAGAGTTCACAGTCTTCTACTCAGATGACAGATAGAATAAAGGTATGGCATTTGAGGTAATAAAAATAAGAGAGGATCATTTTACCTAATCTCTATGGCACAGTGTGAAGAAATGAATGTTTGCGTCCCTACAAGATTTAGATGTGGCCAGATGCAATGACTCATACATGTGATCCTTGCACTTTGGGAGGCCCAGGTGGGAGGATAGCTTGAACCCAGGGGTTACAGACCTGTCTGGTTACCATAGTGAGACCTTGTATCCACAAAAAGTTAAAAATGTAGCTGGGTGTGGTGGCTTATGCCTGGGGTCACATCTACTCTGGAGGCTGAGTGGAACGATGGCTTGAGCCCAGAAGTGTGTGAGGCTTCAGTGAGCTGGGATGGTGCCACTGCACTCTATCCTGGGTGACAGAGCAAGACCCTGTCTCAAAACAAAAGAAAAAATGTACATGTTGAAGTTGTATTCCCCAATGTGATGGCATTAGAAGTTGGAGCCTTTGAGAGGTGACTAAGTGATAAGGACAGAGCCTTCATAAATAAGACTAGTGCTCTTACTCAGGGGACCCCAGAGAGCTCCTTATTCTCTTTCTGCCAAGTGAGGACAGAGAAAGAAGATGATCATCTAAAGACAGGGAAGCAGTCCCTCCCCAGACACCGAATCTTCTGTAGCCCTCATTGTGAACTTCCTTGCATCCAGAACTGTAAGAAATAACTGTTTGCAGTTTAACCCACTGTTAATGGTATCGTTGTTTTTAGTAGTCCAAACAGACTAAAACAGGCTGCTCTTCTTACTTTTCATTGGCATAGAATACAGGATTTTAGTTGTTTATTTTTCAGTCTAATTATGGAAAATCTTTTCCAGACACTGGAAATTAATTGTTTACTAGTTCTTTTCAAAGACATCATATGAAAATTTCATATTTTTATTTGAATTATATTTCTTTTATTGGAATATAAGAAAGGTTTACACAGGCTGCCAGTTATGGGTCATAATAAATTTATAATCCTGCAGACCGATTTAATATTTAAATATTCAATACAGTTAGAATAAAGTCTTAAGCATAGAAGAGATTCTCTGAATGGATATTTAGAATTTCTCTCCTCTTGAATTCTCTCTCATATTTGATTTTCAGATCAGGCACTGGTAATCAACAGTTGTAGTGAATACCCAATCTAAGACTCACATTGCACAGTGAGTGATAGAAATAGATAAAGACTGACACAAAGAAAAGGGGCAAGTGACAGAGATGAATACCAAGGGTAATTCACTTGGATATAAACTATTCATTCTAACATAATAAGAGAAGATAGAAGAAATAAAGCTATCTTACTCTACCTGGATTCATGTACTTAATCATTCTAAGTGCATGCCAGTATAAGAATCTCTCTCTAAAAACAGACAGTTTTTAAAATGGTTAAAAGTTATATTTAAAAAAGCAAAAGCCAAACAGATACTCTTCTAATTAGTGAATTTTTTCCTTTTGATGTGTGGATGAACCATTATCTTGCTTAAGAAAGCCTTAGAAGCATATATCACATATGATTTAAAAATGGATCTGTTTGACATTTCAGCCAGCAATAATGAAAGTTTTTATATTTTGTGTCCTAGCTATAGAGACAAACTGTTGATAGAGGAAAAAAAAAAAAGAGAGAGATATTGTATGTTCTTACTCTTTTTAAAAAAGCCAATAGGAATTAACTAAATTAATTTTTAAAATATGAAATATACATAAATTAAAACAATTATGCACTGAACTTTATTTGCAGAGTAAAGTTGTTGATGTATTTTCCAAGGTGTACTACTGAAAGAATATAAGTTTATAAAAAACCAGTTTTTTCTTCGAGTACGCTACATCCCATTAGAAGAATGAATAGGAGGTTACTTAGCATTAGCCTCACATTGATAAAAAGGCTTACATTTTATGTTTTAGCTTTTATGTTTGCTTTTGGGAACTAAGTACTATGTTAGATTATGTATAAACTAATTTTTGAAAGCACAATTCTTCATTAGGACCATGCTTAATGGAAAGCATCTAATACTTTTATGATTATTATTTTGGCTGTGAAGTTACTCACAGCTTTAAAAGGTCAGTAGCACTATTGGCTCAACTTAAGTATGTGCCTGTGAAAGTTGTAGTATTTTCCTCAGATCCATCCAGATGCTTATAAAGCACCAAACAAAACAAGACCATTGCGGTTATACATTGATGAGCCACACGAGATGAAAAAATCACAGAATGCCTGATTCTACCTATTCTCTATTTTTACAAAAAAAATCTAGAAGAGGTTAGTAAGTAACTTACTCTGTTAGTTGTTGAAAATAGATATATGTATGATTTTTAAAATTATATTTCTACAGTAGAGAAATTCTTATTCACATTTAGATGGATTATTTGCAATGTTATTTATATATACATTTATTAATAAATATATAATGTAATTCTTAGAAATTTTATGTAACTGTAAACTATCTTTTTACTTATATTTTGAAATTGTGTTACTTTTCATTTTAGAACATTTCAACATATTATATCATGGCTTCAAATGAGATTTACATAAGTTAAAAATTATATATAAAGATAATTAAAGAAAAAGCACTTATTTGATGAACTATATTAACATTCTTATTTATCAAGTAAATAGAATAACTACTTTCTAGTATAATAGACATTGATTGCTGTTTTCTAATTAACAATGATAATAACAATAGATAGTAATGTCAATAGCTATAATATTTGGAACATACTTGACCACTGGTTAGCAAAGGTTGTTTTATAAATTATACAGACTAAAACCAGCATAATTTATTACTTTTTTAAGGAAAATATTTCAATGCTTTATTTTATGTCTGTAATTGTGTAAGTAACTGCATACACTGGAATCTTATAATCTATTGAATATAGAGCTAGTAAATTATAAGCTCTTTAAATGTTCCTTTTTTGTATAGATAATGTTTGCTTATTTCTAATCCTTAAATCATTTGATATGTTTATAATATTTTATTTCTTAAACATTTAAATTCAGAATGGCTAAATTTCTATTTTTATTTTAAAGAATAAGCATTTTTAAATGAATATTTTAAAATATCCTACAGTACAAATAAATAAAAGAAAAATGTATATTTTTATAACTACTAAAAGTTACCTTACATTTGACTAATTATTAAATGACAATAAGTTTGAGTATTTTAATACATTTATTAATATACTACTTATGGTTATTATCTCAAAGGTTGAATATCTAAATGAAACTTCTATTTTTTTAACTTAACAGAATTCTCTACTCATAATCATCAAATAATATCACACATGTAAACACTGCCTTAATGTTTTTAAATTCTTTTAGAATTTTGCTCATCTCATTTTGATCTATTTCAAAACATCCATAAATCTAGTTTACACACTAATTATAATTTTGTAAAATAAAACACAAACATAATATTAATCAGTAACCGTTCCAAACTTTTTCTTTATTTATTGACACTTTTAGTTATCACTATATCTTTTTTATGTTTTAGAATGATAATAAACCTAATTAAGATCATTTAGGAAATTTAACAAAGTTTTAATATACTCATAGAATTACTTGGCATGCTTATACTAATAAAGTCATTATATCCTAAAAATTATAACACACAGTATTTCTTTCGCTGTTCATTTTGATTAACCAAATTGTAATTTGTATAAAATGACTGAAATGCTTTCAGGGGAATATTTTTATCTTTGATGAAAGTTTTATTAAACTTCCAACAAAAGTATTCTTATTAAAATTTTATAAGATAAAAAATTTATCTGCATTGTGTTTGAATCATTACTTTCAAATAACTGTCACCAATAAACTGTTAACACAAATTCATTCTCAGAATGAATTTACAAACTAATTTTGTTTCCAATAGATAACGGCCTCTTTCCTCAAGTGCACTATCAAACAAAACCATTATTACATTGTTTCATTACTTTCATAACACAATGTTTGTTTATGATATTAAAAAAATTGACATAATCTCGAAACAGATTATTTTTAAAAAGAGAATAATGTAGATTTTAACAGTATATTTACTGCTATTCTTGTAACAAGCCTTGAAAGAGATTTATAATCACTATTTTTTAGCTACCATTAATTTAAAAAATGAGTGATGTCTCTTTAAGATGTTAGGAATATAGACTACTTTTCCTATTTTCTTTATTACTTTATTTATTAGATCTTTTCTACTTGTCTAAGGGGATATAGCTTAGACATAAATGTCAAATTGGGAGATACAACAATATTTTACTTTAATACAAAAGTCATTTGGTATCCTACTTCAAATTTAAATGTCATTATAGATTATTTCAATAGCATTTTAGATTCTTGTTAGGCTCGTGCACATGCATGTGTGTGTGTTTGTGTGTCTGTGTACATCCTCTCTAGCTGATTACAGCGTAGACTTCCTCTCTCTTTTTATTCTGGATAATGTATGTTATGACCTCATATAATGTCTTAATGAACTAATTTTACATAGTTTTCTTAAACAAATTTTTATTAGGTCATCAGGATACAGTAACTACATCAAGAAGAGAAGAGAAAATCAATAGCATGGGTTGATAACACACACATATCTGAGTACACAGATGCAGTCTTAGGGAGAGGAGAGAGAGAGAGAGAGAGAGAGGAAGTTGTTCAAGTTCTATGAAATCAACAGAGATTGAATTTACCCTGAACATCTTGAATTATAAAAAATAATTTGTTGATCTATATCACTGTCAACATAACTACACTGTAGAGAGAAATGTAGTCAATGACTGTCTGTGAATGCTTAGCCTTGAGGAAAAAGCTGAGAATCAGTGCATATTTTGCATGAAGATGTAAAAATTTTGCATTTTGCTAGCCCTATTGACTGAGTTCAACAGGGAATTTAGATAGTAGGACATAAATTCAAGTGAATTGAAATTAGAATACATGTTTAACAAGGTGCTTTGATAATTTCTTAACATTTTTTAAATAATTATTTTACTTTGGTGATTGTATAATTATAAAATATTTCACTATAAAATATTTTGTTGACTTAAAGTTATCAAACAATGCAACTCAAATATTGAATTAATATATTTTATTTCATAATACCTGCAAATGAAATTAAACATATAGGTCAGAAAAATAGTCTCAGTTTTTAATATTCTTCATAGTTCTTTTTAATAATGAATATTATGAGATCATGCATTCTCAGTGAAATTTTACCAAGAAAAATATTATTTGTTCTTAGGAATAAGCAGCAGAACGTATTTGCCAAAATGTGTCATTCTGTGTCAAAAATTTGAAAAGGTGTACCTGTTATTAATAAAAAATATACAAAACTTTTATTCTTCTAAAATATGATTTGGGGAGATTGAATTTTATTATTCTAATTTTAAAAGTATAAAACCATATACGCTATCTAATATATGTAATAAACTGGGGAAAGTAATAGAATAATGGTGATGATTATGATAATTATAAGATTGTAATATTTATAATGATAAATTATTTGGTAACTTATTAATAGATAAGTAACAAACAGAGACAAAAGTACCCACATTTGCCTACTTATAAATCTAGGCTATTTGGTCTTAGTAAGCCTTTATTTTTAGGAGAAACAGAGATGACCTTCATACTTATTAGAACTATAGTTTCTAATACGTTTGAATCTAAAATTTAAATCATTAGTGGAACAGTGAGTGAAACTTTGGAAAAGATGAACGTTCTCCAGACAACAGAAATTTTTGAGCCTTGTATAAGCTAAGTTGATTTAGCTATTTAATTAACGCTTAAATAAATAACTTTCAGTTTTAAGGTTAATTCTGTTTTAAAACTGAGGGAAGACAACAATTTTCTACATGCTATTCTCTTTTTAGTTCAAATTATCTTGTAGTATATATTGTGAAAACTTAAAGCCTAGAAAGCCCTAATAATGTTAGAAAAACAATTATCCAAAAGAGAATAACAGTCCTTGAAAGGGATGTATTAGACACAGATGTGCTGCTACTTTAAAAGAGACTGATAGTGCTGAAAGGGAACTAAACTACAGAAGCAACAACCTAGCCAGAAAAAGAGGAAAACCATTTTTAAGAGTTGTTTTTTCCCTTTTTCATCTTCTACATTAGGTATGAAATTAGTGTTTACAAGTACTAGATTTAAAAGAGTTAGAAATTTATATATGCAAAAATAGTTTTTTTCTGCTTTGTTTGTAGTATTATAATATTTCTCCATGTTACTTTGTACATAGGAAGATAAATTTAGGGTTTCCAAGAGTCCAATTAGAAAGAGAAGATGTCTAGTACTGTAGAAGGAGAGTAATGGGCTGAGAGTCAGAAGACTGAATTTTATTTTCATCTCCATATTTAATAAATGTTTCTAGTCTTGACTATATTACTTAATGTTTTAGAGTAGGCTTTCTTAATTTTTTCATAATATATTCATAATCAACTCTAAGAATTTTGCCATGTAATTATGAGAATCACAAATAGGTAGTAAATACATACACACATACTTATATACACACATGTGCATACATGATTTTATATACGTCAGGAATTAGTTACTATAGAAAGATTTTGAAAGCAGCTTTACTGCTGTGGTGTCCAAATTACATTCCTCCTATTTGATAATTTAGTACAATCTACAACATAGAAATAAACTGGACTTACATTCAGAAATATGTCCAGAGTGAGCTTTTCAAATTTAATAAAAACTGTCAAGACTACATTCCATTCAGTCAATGATCAAAGCTTATGAACTTGTTTTAATTATAAGCAAAATACATTCAATCTAGAATTATACTCTAAAATCTATTGAATAAATATGCATTGAGTGTCTATTACCTGCAAGCTAACATGGTAGCCATTGAGCATATACCAAAAAGGGATTTAAATATGGTCCCTGATCTCATCCCAATAAATGTGCTTAAGAATGTTCCTGGAGGCAGTGAGCAGTGGCTCATGCCTGTAATCCCAGCACTTTGGAAGGCAGAGGCAGGTGGATCACCTGAGGTCAGGAGTTCGACACCAGCCTGGCCAACATGGTGAAACCCCATCTCTAGTAAAATACAAAAAAAATTAGCTGGGCATGGTGGCGGGCATCTGTAGTCCCAGCCACCCGGGAGGCTGTGACGGAGAATCTCTTGAACCCAGGAGGCGGGGGTTGCAGTGGCAGCAATTGTGCCACTGCAGCGACAGAGCGAGACTGTGTCTCAAAAAAAAAAAAAAAAAAAAGAAAAAGTGATGTTCCTGTAAATCTATTTTGCAAAAATATAAAATTATTGTCACTGCAATTTGTATTTCTCTACCTATTAGTGTAGCTGAAAATGTTGTTTTATCATTTTTGTATTTCTTCTTTTGTAAATTTTATATTAACGGTCTACCAAATTTTTATAGAATATTTCTGTCTTATATTTTAGGAGTTCTTTTTGTTTGAGATGATATACTTTTATCATCATGTACTCAAATTTGTTTGCTATTCATTTATTGATTATGAGTTTTGTGTGGATAATGGGAATAAGGCTCTCATTTGCCAGTCAATTTACTCTAGTAAATATAAAAGAAAGAGGTTCTGTTTAGAGAAAGGGCAAATGGGAAAATAGAGAGAAGAGAGTTGGAGAAGAAAGTCTGCTTTTGCTTTACTCTTCCTTGTGCATCTGGTTGAGGGCGAAATACACACACACACACACACACACACACACACACACACACACACCACTTACCTATGTCTAACATACATAGATATGTATCCTCATGAAGTGATACTGAAGCAATGCACCCATGAGAATTTCACTTTAATATAAGGGGCTGATTTGGAAACAGGGATGGAAAACACTTTCTGTTCTGTATTTTCTTGTGTTTCATGCTTAATAACTGAATTGAAATGCAAAACCAGGACTTTCTAAATTCATACTGAAAGTTTTGAATAATATGCAAGGTAGCATCCCTGAATTATATCATGATTTTACTATAGTTCTGTGTTAAGCCACAGAAATTTTTAGAAATGCAAAATAAAAAAAAAATGGTGGCTGGGGGCAGTGGCTCACACCTGTAATCCCGGCACTTTGTGAGGCCAAGGTGGGTGGATCACATGAGTTTGGGAGTTCGAGACCAGCCTGACCAACATGGAGAAAACCCATCTCTACTAAAAATACAAAAAATTAGCCAGGAGTGGTGGTGCATGCCTGTAATCCCAGCTACTTGGGAGGCTGAGGCAGGAGGATTGCTTGAACCTGGGAGGCAGAGGTTGCAGTGAGCCAAGATTGTGCCATTGCACTCCACCATGGCCAACAAGAATGAAATTCCGTCTCAAAAACAGATGAAAAAAACTCAATGCTTCATACATTTGCTGAATTCAATGTGCCTGTTTCAGGTTTAGTAATTTTAACTTTTGCATAGTGAAGAATTAACTTTACCAAATGATAGATAGGTCTGGCCTTCATCTTTAGTTTCTTGGTTAGTGATCTCTAGGCCACTGGAATATCCTTCCTGATGGGAATGTCTTTGCTTGGGAGCTTTGGCCACTATCAAGTCTAAAAGTGTTCTATGATGGAATCTTTGGGCCACAAGTTTTCAGTTCTGCCTCCAAAAGTGCCTGGAAAGTAAAAATGTCAGTCCAACCTCCAGAAAGGGCTGAAGACTAAATGTGAGCCACAGCAGTGGTAAGTGATTGAACCCTATTGAAAATTCTGGACATCAAAGACTTGAAAGCTTTTCTAGTTAAGAATACTTCATGCATATGGTTACATATTAATGCCCAGAAGCTAATAAATTTGCCACTCCCCCAGGTTGAGGGCAATAGGAGCTTCACGTTTGGTACCTTTGCTGGATTCTGACCTAGGTATCATACTTCATCTCCTGGCAGATTTTAATCCGTATTCTTTTTCTGTAATGAGCTGTAACCACAAGTAAAAGTATAACAGCTTTAAATGAGTTCCGTGAGTCTTTCTAGTGAAATCAAATACAGGGGTAGTGTTGTGTACCTTGTCCCGTGAATTTTCAATTGATATCTGACATAATGGCAGTCTTTTGTTGACTGTTTATTCTAAACTTTGCAATTGACCACAACTCTCAAAGGTGTTTATGTAAATATTTCTAACGTATCATATTGTTGATGAAAGGAATGTTAGGAAGTGAAACACAATAGCAAATAAACAAAACAAATATTTAAAAGTGCCTTCTAAACAGTCTTATTCAAAAATAATTTTAGTCAACGGTGTATACTATCTCTAGTTATATAGCCAGGTTGAGTCAAAAGAGCAAAAGTAAAATTGTGAATAAATATAGCAACTGTATTTTCCAAATTGTACCTGGCAGAAAAACTGAGAAATCCACATCTGTTGCTGGGAATTAATATTACCTTATCACAGAAGAAACATCTTAGGTTATTTGTTATAGCTGCCATGAAATAAAATATCAAAGTGAAACAGAAATCTAATGTTATATTTTGAACCCTCTGAGAATACACTTCAAGTGGCTGCAGGCCTCCAAATCACTGAAGGATGTAGTCACTTAAGTGAATGAAAAATAATGATGGAGAGTTGATCAAAAGGTAAGTGGCATTACCATTATAAGGTCTTGATATAAAAGAAATTCTTGTAAATCAAATTGTATGGCAATTATAGTTTGTAAATTTATCCATTTTTTCATTATGTAGTGAATTAGAAGAAAATATATTATTTTACATTACATTACATTAAACATTTACGTTATATTAAATATACATTTAGGTTGCATTATGCAGACAAAATACACATACTTTACTAATTTTTAGCTACTACTAAGATTATGATGGAATTAAATTCATAAAAAAAGCTTTTTATCTCAAACAATGATATCCATGTTTGAAATTAGGACAACATTGTTTCTTTTATCCTAGTAAGAATTAGCTAAGATTACTCAAAAAAAAAAAAAACAATGCTGTTTTAGTTTGTTTTGTGAAGCTGTAACAGAACACTACAGACTGGGTAATTTATAATGAAGAGAAATTTATTTGGCTCATTGTTCTGGAGGCTGGGATGTCCAAAAGCATGGTGTCCACATCTTCATGAAGTACTACCAGGGAAGGCCTTTGTGGTGTGTCATCCCGTGTCATAAGACAAAAGGACAAGAGAGGAACAGAGTGAACAAGAGATTGAAATTGCAACCTCAAGCCCTTTTATAATCAGCAGTAATCCATTCATGAGGGTGGATTGCTCATGACCTAAAGGCCTCTCATTAGGCTTATCTCCCATCCCTCTTGCATTGGGATTGTGTTTTTAACACATAATTTTTAGGGGACATACTCAAACTGTAACAAATGCCAAGTTACTGTATATTGTCAGACAAAATATACAAGGTGTGAACTCCAGAAATATCATCTCTACAACTAGATGACATATTGTTAAGTTATACGTAATATGACTATTTTGTATAATACAAGAAATTACTAAATTATCCAGATATCTCTCCAGGTCATTCTCAAAACAACTTAGTTTAAAAATAAATTAAACAGCAGACTAGCTTCAACATTAACTATAGTAAAAAATATTATGGTTTTTTGCAAGTACATTTCAGAATAGTATTTTGGTTTATTATGTTAATGCTGTTTTCACATATGATCATGACTGAGAAAACTCACTGGTTATGTATGGTCTGAACAGTCAGAAAAGTTTAATTGCTAATTTTGTATATGTATATTTTTTATTTTAAAAGGAATGCTCACTTTAAAAATAATAATAATAATACAATGAGGGTTATACTAAAATGTACATTAAAACAATTTCCATGAACTTTAATTTTTGCAATGTAATAGTATTAGGTATATTTGAGACTATGTATGTTAAAAAAGGCATCCAATAATAGATTATAATTTCAGGTGAAATGTTTAAAATGTTTAATTCTCATCCAAATCTAATTTTCTTTCTACATAGCAATACCATTTATTATTATTATTAAATATCAGCATTTTAGCACTGTAAAAATATAAAATATAGGCTGGGCTGAAGGAAGAGAAAGACCCTCTCATATTATTTTATATTGTTTTATACTCAGTACTTGTTTTAAGAAAAAACAACAAGGAAGTAAAACCAAAGACAGGCAGCCTGACGCCAGGCCCGAAACCAGGCCTGGGCCTGCCTGGACTAAATCCAGTAGTTAAAAATCAACTCATAACTTAGAAACCAATGTTATTCATAGATTCCAGACATTGTATAGAAGAACACTGTGAAACTCCCTGCCCTGTTCTGTTTCGGTCTGACCACCAGTGCATGCAGCCCCTGTCACATACCCCCTGCTTGCTCAAATCAATGACGACCCTTTCATGTGAAATCTTTAGTGTTGCGAGCTCTTAAAAGGGACAGAAATTGTGCACTCGGGGAGCTCGGATTTTAAGGCAGTAGCTTGCCGATGCTCCCAGCTGAATAAAGCCCTTCCTTCTACAACTGGGTATCTGAGAGGTTTTGTCTGCGGCTTGTCCTGCTACAGGGCGATATGGCCCACATTTGTAATCCCAGCATTTTGGGAGGCTGAGATGGAAGGATCACTTCAGCTCAAGCATTTGAGACCAGCCTGAGCAACATAGGGAGACAGTATCTCTACAAAAATTTTTTTCTAAAAATTAACCAGGCATGGTCATATGAGCATGTGGTCCCAGCTACTTGTGGGGCTCAGGTGGGAGGATCTCTTGGGCATGGGAATCAAGGCTGCAATGAGCTGTGATTGCACTACTGCCATCCAGTTTGGGTGACAGGGCAAGGCCCTGTCTCAAGGCCCTATTTTGTGGGATCTCATTTATTTAATAATTATTTTTTTTAGATATAATACAGAAGAAATAAAGTTTTAAATTATTTGTATGTGTCTAATATATGGAACAATGTAATGTTTATATGTCAGATACTTCCAAAGTGTAATGCCTAAGGTTCTTGCCTAGCCACGCCAAAGAATTGGTGTGGTGGCTGTGATAGAGACACGAACAAAGAGCGAGAAAAAGCTGTAGGCTTTATTGAGCAGAGTGAAAGTACAAAGCTTCCACAGCGTGAAAGGGGTCCTGAACGGGGTAGCCACTGCTGGACTTGGGTGATCGCCTTTTAAACTCTTTAAGGCGGGAAATACGTGCGGCAGAAAGATGTTACCAGAGCAAGAAATGAAGGCAGTAAATTATTTTGTGACATGTCTTAGATTTTGAGGAAAACCGGAATTGCAACTTAGGTTTTATCTACTTTATGACCTTGCAGTGGCATGGCAAAGGAGACAGGATCTTACAGGACTTTACAAAGTATGTTTACAAGGAATTGGAATTGGGGGTATAGATAAGGTCTGCTGGTCACAGAAAACCGGCAGTTAACATTCCTTTTACTTTAGTTTCAGGGAGGGGGAAGAGAGGGAGACAGGAAACAGGGAAACTTACAGCAAAATTTTCGCTGTTTATAGCTTTCTTGGGGAAGAAAACACATGCACAAATCCTGGTGTTAGGAATATTTTAAGCATATATCTTCAATATTATTCATCCAGGACAGAAGGAAGTCCTGATGCAGGAAATGACTGAGTTTCTGAGCCCCTACTCCACCCAGGAAGCCCAGCTGGCACCTCCCCTCAAAAGGACTCAGTTTACATGACACTTAATAGTCACACATAGTTGTAAATAACATATGTATATATTAATCTTTATATATTCATACATGCAAGTTACCTAATTGCTTAATTCTAGAATTAAATTATACACAGCTCTGAAACATGTTTATTAACTGTACCATTTGTGCCAAGGTTGTTTTCGATGAACTAATGCACAGGAAATCTACAAATACCTGTCATTTATGAGTCATTTTTACTTTCTAGATGTTTACATTAAAATAATAAAACGTGTGAAATAAATAATAATATTGTAAGTATTGTCCTAAAAAGAATATGCTGCTAGATTTCAGAAGGGACTTAAATTATATTTTTTTGTTTTCCATGTTTAAAATAATAATTTGCCTCACATAATACAAATACATACATTTTGGGGATTTTTCTCTAATTAAAGAATAATTTTAAAAATATTTATTAAAACTTTAACACAGAGAATTTCATTATTCAGTTAAGGTAAAGTGGAATCTCATTTGTTGGAAACTATATTCTAGAATTATCTTATAAAATGATTCAAATTAGAAAAGACTCAGTATTGCCCATAGGAATGGAAATCAACTAGGAAAGTTGACTCACTAATTATTTAGCAGACTTGAATAAATTGGTATCCAAAAGGATTACTGCCCAAAAGCCTGCCCTGGGGTCGGAACAGGTGTTGTTTCCTCAGAATTCTGCATTGCTGCTATTTCAAGGAGGAATTCAAAAAGACAACCCAGGGAAAGAAAATCCCATCTATGTGACATGAAAAGCATGACTCCTAAGTTACTTTATATGCTTTCTCCTTCTCAGTTATTTCCTAGACTTCTTTCTGTCTCAAATAGATCCCTTACCAATTGCAAAGCAGCTGGCATAAGTCTTCTCCTGAAAATGGCAATAGCACCCTTGCAGCAAATCTCAGGCACACAGGTGTTCCAAGGGATCTGAGATACAGCTAGGCAGAAGCCAAATTTCAGGTAGAATCACCCATAAAGGTTATGACTATGAGGCCAAAAATTGTCTACTAATCTTCCTTCCAAAGGTTTACTGCTCAAGGCTACACTTAAGAACCTTCCTCCTCAAAGTGAGTTACCATTAAATTCCTGTGCAACTGTTTGGGAGATTGTTTTGGTTGGAATTACAGTGGTATAATGACTGCAGTGCTCATTGCCTCTGTGCATAACACTTGCAAGTTCTTTAGTCCTTATTAGCTCTCAAACACTTTAAATGACTTTGAATACTTTGCTAAGCACTCTGAGTAGGAGTTTAAAAAGTGGTCTATTGTTCCTGATGCTAATTATTACAAATTGTCACTCAGTCTTGACAGCAGATGCTTTGTCTTGCTGTTTTCCGTGGGCAAGAGGCTATAGAAACTTTGCTTTGGGGGGAAGAAAAGGAAAATGAAAAAGAAACTTTAGGTCTTGAGGATCACTTCTTTATTTGCACTACAAATATAATTTGTGTGTGTTTGTGTGTGTGCTCAAAGTGTAAACCAAAAAGTATCTAAGTCTCAATCAAGTTGGAAGCTTATTTTGACTAAAAGTTAAGGACATGCCTGTGACATAGTCTCAGGAGGTCCTGATATGTGCCTAAGGTGGTCAGGCTAGGGCCTGATTTCTTACATTTTAGAGAGGCATAAGACATGAATTAACACATGTAAGATGTATATTGGTTCAGTCTGGAAAGGAAGGTCGACTAAAAGTGGGGGAATGTTCAGGATGGATTTCAGGGCATAGGTGGATTCAAAGATTTTCTGATTGGCAATTGGTTGAAAATGTTTATCTAACAAACTGTAATCAATAGAAAGAAGTATCTGGGTTAAAATAAGGGGTTGTGCGGGAGGCAGAGGTTGCAGTGAGCTGAGATCGCACCACTGCACTCCAGCCTGGGCGACAGAGCGAGACTCTGTCTCAAAAAAAATAAAAATAAAAATAATAAATAAATAAATAAATAAATAAATAAATAAATAAATAAATAAATAAGGGATTGTGGAGACCAAGGCTCTTATTATGCAGATGAAGCCTCCAGGTAGCAGGCTTCAGAGAAAATAAATAAATCAGACTTAAAGATTTAACGTCTCTGTTTTAATGTTAATGCAGGCCAGCCATGCCTGAATTCCAAAAGAAGGAAGATATGATGAGACGTGTCTGACCACCCATTTCCATCATGGCCTGAACTAGTGTTTCAGGTTTACTTAGAATGCCATTGGTGAAGAGGAGGGATCCATTCAGTTGGCTGAAGGGCTGAGAATTTTATTTTTGGTTTACCAAAGAAATCAATTTGTATGAAAGTAACATAAAGTTACATCAGAGGAGTCTGTTTTTTGAATATAGAATAATGAATCTGAGGAACTCTCCTGAGCATAATTTTACTTTTCTTGGGATCTCAGCTTTTCTGGATGTTTGTTAATAATTCTTACTGAATAAAAGATGCACTCATTTTTTTCCTTGCTTTCTTATCCAGCTCTACCATCTCCAGTCGTTTTATTTTTAAATAATTAATCGTGGAGGTGAAATCTATTCATAACAGTGTTCCTGAGTCTGAACACCATTTTCAGATTTTTTTTTTTTATCTTTGCCTAATCCCAGACAGGCAAAGGGACACTGCATCTGTGGCAGCAGATATTGTGTATCACATGAGAGTTTAATATAATAATTAATTTTGGATGCATCCTAATTGATGGAAGTAATTGCCTTAAGTATCAGTTTACAGACTAAAACCTTGACACATCTCTTACAGAAAACATTCAATTTAGGAACAGATTCAGGTATGTGGAAAAGCAAAATCCAACGCAGAGCTTACCTCTTAGGTTGTTCACTACAGGGATACCTTTTGAGAAAATAGATATTAGCTAGGAATACTAGGCAGAAATGTAGGAATATAGAAGTGAAGCATATACCACCTTAATATGCATCATGCCCAAGCTATTAAGTTTATCTTATACTATACGTTAAGTTATGAGTTCATTTGCTTTCAACAAAAATGCTAGCATTGTTACAGTAAATTTAGAAATCCTAAGAGAGGAGAGGACCCTCATGTTATTTCGGTAGAGAAAGGTAACACATGGCTGATGACCCCATTCTATGAGTAGGAGAATTAGTCACTCGTGATTTTTGTGTTCTTAAGCTATAAACTTATTTTTTTACCTATAAACTTCAGTTTATAGTTAATAGTTTATAGCTAATCTTGGACTTAGAAAATGCCCTTCTTTATAGACCAATCTTTTTGTCATACCAAAATTATTTCAGCTAAATCTCTCAAGAGTATTATATTAGAGATTTCAGCATCAGACTCTTATAAGTGAAAACCCATATCTGCCCTTGTTTACAATGGTGAATCCGTATCGGTCTGCAGCAACATCACTTCTTGCCTCCTCAGAAGAAAGAATTCCACTGAAGGGCATAAAGCAGAAGGAGAGACTGAGGCAGGTTTTAAGAGTTGGAGTGAAAGTTTATTAAAAACCATTACAGCAGGAATAAAAGGAAGGAAAGTACACTTGGAAGAGGGCAAAGCAGGCAATTTTAGTGAGTCAAGTGCCTGGTTTGACCTTCTGACTAGTTTTTGTTTTGTTTTGTTTTCTTTTGTTTTGTTTTGTTTTGTTTTTGAGACGGAGTCTTGCTCTGTTGCCCAGTCTGGAGTGCAGTGGCGTGATCTCGGCTCACTGCAAGCTCTGCCTCCTGGGTTCACACCACTCTCCTGCCTCAGCCTCCCGAGTAGCTGGGACCACAGGCGTGTGCCACCATGCCCAGCTAATTTTTTTTGTATTTTTAGTTGAGACGGGGTTTCACTGTGTTAGCCAGGGTGGTCTCGATCTCCTGACCTCGTGATCCGCCCGCCTCAGCCTCCCAAAGTTCTGGGATCACAGGCATGAGCCACCGCGCCCAGCCGACTTGGGGTTTTGTATGTTGTATGCATGCTCACTTGAGGCATTCTTCCCTTAGCGGTGGAATGTCCCTGGAAGGTCACATACCAGCTAAATTCCACCATTTTTCCTCTTAATGCACATGCTTGAGCTTACTTACCCAACTCCTGAGATCTTATTGGGAAGCTACTTACTGGGAAGCTACACCAGTTTCAGGTGTTTCTATCTATCGGGAAACTGCCTTTCCCTGACACCAGCTGTAACCAGTTGAGACAGCCAGGTGGGAGGGGAGACCCTGGAGAAACTTCAACCAGCCTGCACACTGAGGTGGAGTCTCAGGAAGTTCCTGCCCTTTGAAGCAGGGAGGAGCCTGGCCCGGCCTCTTTCTATGTGGAACCTAGAATTGGAACCTGGAATTTGAACTGCAGGTAGGAAGGACTCTAGCAGGGCACTCTGGCCTAGCGAGAGTCCCTGTTTTCCCCTTTTCTTCATTTTCACCCAGTAAAAACCTATCTTACTCACCATTTAAATTGTCTGCTTGCCTGAATTTTTGTGGCAGTGAGACAAAGAACCCTGTCTTTAGCTCAACTAAGGGAGAAGTCCTGCAACACAATTATTATTTCAGAGAGGCAGTGTGACAACTGCCTAACTATCACCTGATGGTTTCCTGACATTCCTGGTGGGAGAGCAGTGAGCGGTGTGGTGGCAAGGTGCTCTCCTTCCCTGCTCATGCCTGACTAGCTACCTACTGTAACACCCTCTTCATATAGCAGGAATAGTGCTGATGGTAAAAATCCTAAATCAAATGTCCAATAGGATGATGGGAGCTGGTCTCCTTCCAAAGTACACAAATTAGTCTAATAAATTGAAACTCTTTAACAGTGTAGACTTTTTTTTAAAAAAAGAATAAATTATGCACAAATCCTAATTTATCACAGTAGTTTGCAGTAGTTAAGCTGATCCATAGAGTTTTGGTTTCTTTTTAGCAAGCCTTCATCTGACCTTTAGAATAGCTGAGTTAGGCCAGCATTAAAGTAATTAATCTCAGCATTCTTGTCATCATGTTGGCATCAGCAATTGGGGAATGCATAACATGTGTGTTATGTAGATCCCTAGACCAAATAAAAGCAGGCTGTGATATATAAATTAAAGACTTTTATGACTCCTAAACAATATTATGGCTTTTTAGTGAAAACCTGGAAGGAAAAGTATAAGCAAAGTTTGATCTCATGTTTATAACTTTCATAAATTATTAAACTGAACCTGGGTTTTTGTGGTAACTGTAAATGAAAATATTTCTTATATATTTATGTGCCAGGTAGGTTTTCGTATGTACCACTGCTAGTTTAAAAAGAAAAAAAATACTAACTTTATTTACTTTGGAATGGAGTGGGGTTAATAGAGATTAATACAAAGAAACAAAAAAAGAGCAGCCATTTCAGACCTCTAACAAGAGTCTAGAAAACAGGCAGAGAACAATCAACAAACTATCATCTCAGATTTCTTGTGACACTACTCACTGTCTTAAGGGATGGCGTATGTAAAAATACCAGTCTGGAAGGGGAGCGAATCCGTGTCAGCTATACTTTATGCCTTCAGAAGCTTATATTCAATGGAGGAATACAATTCTCAATTGAATTATTCTTTCCTTTGCCCTTATGGAAATATTTGTTGTGTCCACTATTTCATGAGATGTAACCATGAAAAATGTTCCATGGGGAGTGTAAACATCAATTAATTTAATTTCTGTTAACTAAACTGAGGAAAATTTTCATAAATATAGACTTTGAGCTAGACAACTGCTGTGAAAAATTTCTATAGACAGATATTGTGCCAAGGATATGGGTATTTTTGGAGAACTCTCTAGGCACATTCATTTTTAATTAAAAACACATAATGTTGTCATTAAACACATACAGAAAATAATTTATAGTGTTTGGAGGAAGGCTATGTACCAGCTTTTCGACATGCTTTTCCCAATAAAAAGAAGTTGAAATGTACCTTGGCCCAAAATTGCCTTTATAATGACAATATAAATAATGTGTTGTGAATCATAATCAAGTACAGTCAGGCTTTATTCAATAACCCAAACAACTAATTATATGCCATGCTAGATAAATCAGAGTAAATATAACAGAAGCTAGAAACAGCTGGGTGGACGTCTAGGGACTTTGATGCTTTCTTTTTTTGCAGATAAAGTCAGCATACCAGGGACACAATTTTTTTCAAAAGATTTGAGAGTCTTGGAAAATTCTATTTATGAGATACTTTAAATTCAATAGATTACTTTTTAGAAGTAACATATTTGATCATTATACAATAATAGAAATAAGAATATAATAATATAGAAATTAAGAAAATAAAGAAAAATCTTAAAAATTAATAAAATCACCACTATTCTAAGAACGGTGGCTCCTGTAAGCCTTGTACATGTTACTGTGGGTTATTTCCACTGCATGTTATACAACTTTATTTTTTTATTTGCCACAAATTATATAAATGTTTATTTTCCTATGTCTCTTATTCACTTGACCATTGTCTCTACAAGAAATCTGGTTCATGGTTTATTTAACCTTGTCTTTAAAGTATCATTTAGTACACAATTAACTACTTACTCTCTTATTCCTGAAACACTTTTGTTTCTTGGATTAAATTAATTTCTTCAAGTTTTATGGTTTCTTTTTTTTTTTTCTTGGTTCTATTACAAAAACCTGGAATGGGAAGAGGGAAAAACAGCAGAGTGCATGCTCCTTTTAGAGAGAGACAGAGAGTACCCAGCTCCTTCCTCTTTTTGCTGGATGGGAATGCAAGCCCAGTGCTGCCTGAAAAATTTTTTTTTTCTTTTTTGCTAAACATAATGAGAGATTTTATTCTCTCAAGAAATACATATATTTTTTCAGCTAAATTAATTTTTAAAATATAGTTTGTGGGATAATGCTTCACAGTTCAAAAATAATATGAAAAACAGATATAATGAGTAGATCCAGAATTTCCTGTTTTTGACATATACCATGTATTCTTCATTCATGTTTTGCCTTATTTTTATTTATTTTATTTTTTGGAGACAGTCTTGCTCTGTCGCCAGGATGGAGTGCAGTGGTGCGATCTCAGCTCACTGCAACCTCCGCCTCCCGGGTTCAAGGGATTCTCCTGCCTCAGCCTCCTGAGTAGCTGGGACTACAGGCGCACGCCACTACACACAGCTAATTTTTGTATTTTTAGTAGAGACGGGGTTTCACCGTGTTGGCCAGGATGGTCTCAATCTCCTGACCTCGTGATCCGCCCGCCTCAGCCTCCCGAAGTGCTGGGATTACAGATTCATTCATGTTTTTAATGAGAAATAATTTTGCATTATTTACAAATTTTGTTTTAAATTGATAATGGAAAGCTCAGTGTTAATCAGCCAGTGGAAATCTGACTTGTTGGTGACTGTGGCACCATCACCTCTATAAATTGTTTTGTTGTGGTTATGGGTTCTAGTTTTAGACTACCTACTAGCTTGTCCGAAGTACTGACAAATCATCTACTAACTATGTGCCTTTGTACAAGTTCTTTTTTTTTTTTTTTTTGGAGATGGAGTCTTGATCCGTCATCCAGGCTGGAGTGCAGTGGCGCGATCTCAGCTCACTGCAACCTCCGCCTCCCAGCTTCAAGTTATTCTCCTGCCTCAGCCTCCCGAGTAGCTGAGATTACAGGCATGCACCACCACGCCTGGCTAATTTTTTTTTTTTTTTTTTTTTTGTATTTTTAGTAGAGATGGGGTTTCACCATGTTGGCCAGGCTGGTCTCAAATTCTTGCCCTCAAGTGATCCTCCCGCCTCAGCCTCTGAAAGTGCTGGGATTACAGGGAACCACTGTGCCTGGCTTGAATTCAGTTTTTATATGTCCAGAATGGAAGTCATAATTATACCTACCTCTTGAGCTATGATGGCAAAATGAAAATCAATATAGGTATCATGGTGCCTGACGATGTTAACTGTTGTAATTTTTTTCCTTCTCCTCCTTTTATTTTTCTTCCTCTGCCTCTTTTATTTTCCCTTCTCAGTAAATCAAATCTCAATCCAGTTATTCAAACCAGAAATATGAGTGGGGTTTTATCCTTTATTTCACTGCCCCCGTATCTAAAATATTACTATATTTATTTGTGTCTACTTTTTAAATACTAGACTTTAAAAATAATAATGAACAGATCATACTTTAGTTTTAAAAGTTTATATTGCATCCCAACTCTTTTACAGTGAAGTCCAAGATGCTTTTTTCGTTTTTTAATAGCTATATTGGATAATACGAGTAGTGCACAGTCACTTAATTGGAAAAACTGATCTCTGCTATTTAATAGACTTTCGGCAGTTGTACTGATGGTATGGGTGATGTTGTATTTATGCCAGTTTAGTTCCAGGTATATGTGAATGCAGAAGCCCTAAGGGATGTAATATGAAGAACTGAAGAGTAATTGAGGAGTTTTTGATTTTTTTTTCTTCTCCTCCTTCACTTTTCCCTCTTCTACCTCCTCTTTTCTTTTCCCTTTTAATTGTTTCGAATTCAATCCAGTTATTCAAAAGGGGGCAGGATTCTCCCACCTTGGCCTCCCAAAGTGCTGGGATTACAGGTGTGAGCCACTGTGCTTGGCCAAGGAAATGGTATATATGTTTATATATGTAGTATAGGAATCTCTGAGGACAGAGAAAATCAGGCTATTATCAGTGCCTTTCCTAAAAGGCAAGAGGGCAGATTAACTCTCTTCTTTAACCAGCCCAAACACTGTTGGACTGGTTCGTGCAATGTATTTTAGTAAGAACTTCATTGAAAGCAAAGCCTGTGACAAGGACTTGTATGGAGGTAATTTATTTGGGAGTGTTTCCAAGTAGCACAAATAAATGTGTGAAGAAAGTAAGACCGGGGGTGGTGGGGCAAGAAAATAAAATAAAGCATGCATTAGTAAGGTCCTTTCTGTTGACCACAAAACTTGACTCCTACAGGCCTTCCAAGAAGCATGGAGTATTTTCCAGAATTGTCCATATAAAGAGATGTGGCTGAGGTAATTATCCATTGGCTCATTCCCCATTGCTAGGCCCAGGTGTAATTCCTTAACTTCTGACTTCTGTAAAAGCCACAAGGAAGAAATATGAGAGCTATGCTCTTGAAGTAGAGACTTTAGGCTGCATGTAGTCTGAGGGAGCAATTAGAAGGGATGTCAGGTTCAAAAACTATCTAATACAAATTACCGTGAGCATAGAAAGCTTTCACAATGTTTAACTTTACACTTGGAAATAAATTAAAACTAATAGGGAAATTCCAAAAATAAAAAGTACAGTGCATCTATATACCCTTTTCCCAGATTCACTAATAGTTAAACTTTTCTCTCATTTGCTTTCTGTCTTTTTCTCTTGAGAGAGAGGGAGAAGGTGAGGGAGAAAAATAATATTTTGAGCCATTTACCTAGCATAACTTTTATCCCCAAAACTTTAATGCATATTTTCTAAGAATATAGACATTTTGAGTTATAACTGTATATCAGTCACTATTTAGGATATATACAATATTTATATCTAATCTACCATTTATATTATAATTTTGTCAGTTAATTTAACAATGTCCTTTGTAGCACTTTTCTTCTTCTATTCCCATAACCAGTGCTTAACCTATTTTGTAAATTTTTTCAAAATAACAGGAATTTGATTTATTAAGTTGATGTTATTATGTTTTCTCTCTAACAGAATTTGCTTTTATATTTATTATTTTTTCGTTATATTTTCTTTGGATTATTTTGTTGTTACTTTTCTTTAAATTTTGAAGGGGAGAATTAAATTCATTTAAATTGTTAGTCTTACATTTTTACTAATGAGCATCTCTTCGACTGGAGAATTTCTTTTTATCACTACTTTAAGTATATGCCATAGATTTTGATAGGTAATGCTTTTCATTATCACATTTTTTCAGAAATCCTAAAATTTCTGTGTATTTTCCTTTTTTCCTCAAAGGTAATTATGTAAGAAGTCTTAATATCCATGTGCAAGAGAAGTTTAATTTTATTTTTCAGATTGTTTTGTCTTATTTATACATTATAAAATTTACTGATTTTTTTGTGTTTTAATGTAAATATTTTTGGTCTTTTCATATGCAAGTGAAAATAAATTATGTTCTATTACTGGAGTATATTGTTGAATGAATATCTAAGAAACTGACCTTATCAATTTTATATTTTATAGACTTATGTAATTTAATTTAAATTTTGTCTGCCTTACTACTTTCAAACTGAGAATATCTTAAAATCTCTTATTAATACTGTGTTTTTATAATTTCTTATGATATCCTCGGTATTTTTGCTTTTTATAGTTTCTGTGTTATTTGGTACATATATATTTAAATGATAGTTTCATTTTTATAGCTTTGATCATTCACTTTTTTTTTTAATCTCAGTTAAAAGGTTTATGCCTCAAATTCTACTTTGGAATCAAGATTGCAACCCCTTATTGTCTCACTGTTTCTTGTTGGATTGTGAGGACTTGCCCATTCCTTTGTTTTTGCCTTTTTTAATGACTGTTTTAAAATGTTGTCTTGATTAGAGCATAAAGTTGAGTTTGCTTTATGTTGTTTGTTTGTAGCTGAGTTAAGCCCTAATCACATTTATTGACATAACTGTTTTGTTTGGTCTCAAATCTGTCATATTATCTTGTTATTATTTTGAGTGTTATATTTACTATGTTTTAAAAAAATCATTTTCTGTGTCTTTGCACCATTTTAAAAGGTTATTTTAGTACTTAGGAAAGTCTGTATTTTCATTTTAGTAATTACCTTTGTTTTAATATTTTTAAAAATATTTTTCTTATTTAACACTTTATTATCATTTGTGTTCATTTTATACAGCATTTTTTGTCTGGCACCTACTACGTATCAAACAGGCAACAATCATTCTACTCTTTCTCTCCCAGTTTTTCGTTGCATCCTTTCTATTTTGTCAGAGTGCATATGTTTACATATAATTCTTCAACCTCAAAACCCCACTCTTGTGGTAGTCTTAGCTCAATAATTAAATACATAAAATGGCCAATATCAATTTTTGGCTGAAATTTTCCTAGTCATATTTTGGTTGGATAAAATTCATCCTCTAATATATTTCTCAGACAAAAAAAAAAAAAAGTTTTCTGGTTTTTTTTCTTTTTTTTTCTTTTTGGAGACAGAGTCTCGCTCTATTGCCCAGACGGGAATCTTGGCTCACTGCCACCTCTGCCTCCCCGGTTCAAGCGATTTTCCTGCCTCAGCCTCCTGAGTAATTGGATTACAGGCGTGTGCCACCACACCCGGCTAGTTTTGTATTTTTAGTAGAGAAGGGGTTTCACCATTTTGGCCAGGCTGATCTTGAACTCCTGACCTCCACTGATCCACCCATCTAGGCCTCCCAAAGTGCTGGGATTACAGGCATTGGCCACCGTACCCAGCCTCAACATTCTTCAACATTATCTATGGCTTTGAGACTTGAAAGAAACCTTAGCTGGATATAATGTTTTTGGTTCCTGAATTCTTTCCTGAGCTTCTTGAAAATGCTGCTGCACTATTGCTTTGTTATTTTTCTCCCCTAAAAGTAGAAGAGGTAGAAATATTTACTTCTGAATCTTCTTTGAGGAAAAGTTTTGTCATTATTCTCTCTTTCTCTCAAATTCTGCATTTCTGACTGCCAATATTTTTCTTCTTTCTTAATCTCTCTCTGGTTTACTTCTCTCACTTGCAAAATAGGAATAATGATTGCATTAATGTCACTGAGTCAGTGTAAGTATAAATGAGATTATACATGTAAACTTTTTCTGTAAAATGTCTGTCATGTACTAACAACTCAATATGTATTTGTTATTAGTGATATATAATTGCATACACATATATTAGAAATAACAATCCACAGCAGGAAGCATATAGCTGAGTATTTCAACTTACTTCCTCTTTGATTTAGTATCATTCGTATCTTTTCAAAGCAGGAAAATTCTGTTACAAAAAAATCCATATTTTATTATCAAAAAGTTAACACTGTGGTCTAACAGAAAGGTGTACCATATGGTATTCAGGGTATAGATCTTATTTTATAGCATGTTAATTGTCAGGGTGATATAGCAGAGAAATATAAGGTTTCAGAGATTGTATTTGGTTATAAAACAGATGCATCTTCTGTTTGTTACCAGGTAACAAATTTAATTCAATTATGTTGATCATTTCATTGGTGACATAAGATAAAAAGAAAATAAATTTACTATGCTGAAATCAACTTGTATACACCTATAAACTTCATTTTGTGTCTAGCTAGTGAATGCATTTTGCTTTTATGGGATGTATGAATAATGATTGTATATTTATGCACAGGTACTTTAACAAGAATTGAATCAGATAACTGTAGATATATTTCTTCAATCTAAATTGGTTGAAAATATTATGTAGAAAACATTATAGTATTGCCCATTCCATTCCTTGCTTTACTAAATTGTGGGACTTAACTATAAAAATTATTTTTAAAATATCTACCATTAGAAAAAGCAGTGTTTATTGCATATCTTCTACATGTCTAAACTTGTACTTTTACTTTGTCCTAGAAGAATGCAATCAACTTTGGAACAAGTTTTATATTCATGGAAGTACTCAGTTAACTATATAATGCATTTAGTTTCAAAAAATGAAGCATCCAGCAAATATACACACAAATTCATTTGTTTAGGCAATAATGAAGTAAATACAGTTTTCCAAACTGCCTAAACAGCTGGAGATTTTTCATTAATTATGGCATTTTATTAGATAAGAAACAAATATAAAAACAAAATGGTAGATATTAAAATCATAAGGATTTCTTACCTCCTGAGATGATGTAGTTGCATTTAGTTTATGTCTAAGAGTTAGGTAAAGCTGCTGGCATCATCTTCAGTATTTTAAATCTAGAGAAACTTGAACCAAAGCAGTTTAGGGAACTAGCTCAATATCTTGAACACCTGTGATCTACATATTTTTAAAAAGCCTTATTCTTAGCGTAGTAAATTTTAATTTATTATAAAGGAGATAAATGCAAATAGATCTAACTCATTTTAGATAGCTAAACAGCTGCTTTTGTTTGATGGAACAAAACGTATAAAAGGTAGTTATTTTAAGCTCATGCTAATATGATTGATTCATTACATAACTCTCTACTGCTGATTTTAACTCTTGCTTTTCTACTCTTTATGGATCCACCAATTTAAATGATAACGTTCATTGATACTACCTTGCAATAGCAAATTGCGATGAATTACTGGTTAACCAGCAGCCCTTGAATAGGCACTGAGCCTATCAGCTGATATTTTATGGACAAGAAGTTTGGTTACCGTGGGAGCTACTGCTGCTGGAATTTTTTTCTCTCCGCATAGAAATGTCAAATTTTGTTTGTGCAGGACAGAAAAAAAAATAAGAGCATGTTTAATTGAAGTTGTGATGATAAACGTATGTCAAAGCTTCCTTCCTTTGTAACTAGATAAATTGTATTTTGTACGAACTCTGAAAAAAAGTCCAAGTCAGGGCAACCTTGTGGACAAGAATATAGCTGTTATAAGTACTGTTCTGAATGACAAAACTCTATGGGGCAGAGGGAGGGGCAGTTCTTTTCTGCCAAGTATCAAGTTCTGAAAGAACAAAGAAATCTTTTCATGGGTAGGGGAGGCAGCTGTTGATAGTGAAGGAATCTTACAGCAGCATATAGAAGCAACTACCCTTTCCAATAACCACTTAAAATTGTCTCCGCTCTCTTCAAACTTCCCTTTTTGCTAACTTCCCATTTATCTACTGCCCATGATTTGCTTTCTACCACAAAGAGAAAATAGATGCCACCAAAAGGCATTTTTATTTATTATTTATTTATTTATTTTACTTTTTTTCTCAGCTTGGTTGGGAGAAACTGAGTGACACACTTCCTGTGGTGAAGTTTATATTTCTGAAAATCAGGAAATCCAATAATACGGGTTTCAGTATTTTTTCTTTTTTTAATTAGAAAACTAACTGATGGTGATGATATTGGTCCTTACACACATATTCACACTCACATCCACTGTTGTTTATTACAGAAACGCAAAGTCTCCTGGGCCAATTTCAAGCTCACACTTTCCTTTGAACTGATTTTCATAACCTTGTGGCTCAGAATACTCAATGTCTACAATTAATTACACAATAGTCGTATTTTTCTGGATAGGTATTCTGTTTTTTTGTTTTGGTTTGGTTTTTGTTTTTGTTTGTGTTTTGAGACGGAGTCTTGCTCTGTCACCCAGGCTGGAGTGCAGCAGCACGATATCGGCTCACTGCAACCTCCGCTTCCTGGGTTCAAGCGATTCTCCTGCCTCAGCTTCCTGAGTAGCTGGGATTACAGGTGCCTGCCGCTGCGCCTGGCTAATTTTTGTATTTTTAGTAGAGACGGGATTTCACCATCTTGGCCAGGTTGGCCTCGAACTCCTGACCTCGTGATCTACCTGCATCGGCCTCCCAAAGTGCTGGGATTACAGGCATGAGCCACCGCGCCCGGCCCTGGATAGGTATTCTTATGGGTTGAATTGCTTTCCCCCAAAATCCTATGTCGGAATCCTAACCCCTAGTACCTTAGGATCTGAACTTACTTGAAAATATTTGGTCATTGCAGACATAATTAGTTAAGTTTGAATGAGGTTATAGTGGAGTAGGATGAGCCCCCAATCCAATATGACTGGTGTCCTTATAAAAAGAAATACAAAGATAAAGAGACAGCCATAGAGAGGTGACAATATGAAGAGACACAAACATCCAAAAAGATGGCCTTCTGCAAGCCAAGGAGAATGGCCTGGAACAGGTTCCTTCCTCTCAGCCCTTGGAAGGAACCAATTTTTTTCTAAGGAATATTTTAATATAAAATTAAGAAAAAAAGGAAGAAAAAGGAACTGAACCTGCCGACACCTCAATTTTAAAATTATAGTCTCCAGAACTGTGTGCCAATAAATTTATCTTGCTTATGCCATACAGTTTGTGACTTTGTTACTGCAGCTCTAGCAAACTAGTATAGATGTAATGCCCATCGTAGCTCTGACATAAATTTTGAATAGTTTGAACTGTTCGGCAGTCTAGCCATTTAAACTATTCTGTCTTAGCTCTCCCACTACCCTAAAACAAGTTCTTACATTTTTCACTAATACTTTGACCTCCCATTTGGTTTCTTACATCTAGTCTTGCACTTTTACAAATTAATAAGGTATTCAAATTGACCTTTTAAAAATCAGCCATTATTAAGTCATGTTCCTGATTACAGTCTTTCACTAAACGCTCACTACCTCAAGGTTAGAATCCAGAAATGTGGGCTTCAGAAGACAATTTTGAAATGAACTCTGTTACCTACCTCTCCAGCATCATCTCTCAGCACGTTGCCCTCATTCTCTCTGGCGATTCTCATTTCCCTTCTCATTTCCCCAAATGTGTGAAAACCTCTCTCAAGCATGCTTAAACATTTTTACTGACAAGGAAATTTTATGCAAAAATTTTTGAGACCATGGTAGTGTTTACTGAACACTTGTCTACTTCACTGTTTCATACATTTCATGAGGCCACGGCTGCTTCATCAATTAACTTTACCCACAGAGGCTAGAAAAATTTGACAAGCGACCAGTATTCATTTCAATTACTTACTTAATTAAATGTTTGAATAAATGAACGTGGACATAGACTGCTTAATATTGGGTCACTAAATCTGATGAGTGATGGCAAAAAATGTTGCAGTATTTTCCAATCCTTTAAAGAAGTTACCCATTACTAGGTACCTACATCTTCAGGCTCCTGTTTTGGTACATCTTCCCATCTGTTATTCAGTTCTCTCTAAATCACCTCAGTGCATTTGCTTAGCTTTCCTCTAGCTATCTTCAAGCTGCGTCATAATGTAGTGGCAAGGAGCTCAAGCTTTGATGTCAAAATGTCTGAGTAAAAATACAGGCTCTGGCATTTACTGTTTGAATTACGTATGAAAGAGTCATTGCTGGATACTATGATAATAGTATTAGTTTGGTGCAAAAGTAATGGCAAAAGCACAATTACTTTTGCACCAACCTAATATCAACTGGTTCATAAGTCCAGTGACCTTCATTTGGATTTCTTGGTACAGTCCCTGTTTACACTGTTGTCTTAGCATGACATTCAGCTTAGTGTGAACACGACACTTCACAATTTTTATGAATTTTTACCTTAATAGTTGCATTAAAATAACCAGGGTGGATGTGGCAAACTTTACTTCTTCCAGTTTCCAATATAGTCTTTTCTATTAGGATATGAGAACCGTGTTAACTAGTATTTTTATCTGAAGAATGTGAGGTGATAAACTATGTCTCTTTCCAGATACAGACAACTACACATGTCTTTCAAGAACAGTTTGCTGGGTGTTGACCAACATCAAACTGCTTATCCAGGAACCACTAGAAGTGAATCTCTTCTTGAGTATTCCATACTGCTGCCCCTGCTATTCACTTGGGGTCCCAGTCAGTTGTTACTATGTATCCTTTCTCAGTGTATGTGATATGCCATGTGCCAGACCACCAAACTGTGGTGTCAGAGGAAAATGTGAGGCATTGTAAGATGAAAATTCATAGAATATATGTGGAATATAGAGGCTAAGCAGTCTGCCATCAATGGAAGCATAGCTTGAACACTCTTAACACAAATATTTGGTCATTCATTGTATGGTGTAAATCTAATAATATTTTTTTCCTTTAACTACCTGATAAGTGATACCTTTTTTTGGCAGGGGGTGGGTGGGGGGTTGTTGTTCAATAGATCATTTCAGAGGAATTAGCTCTAAAAACAAAGAAAAAAGAAAGATCGTCATAAATTATGGGGCTTCTCTCTTAAGGAAGTTTATAGTGAACGTATAATTTCCATAACATGTTTGCAGATATTTGTCATCTATTGTGAGAGTCGTGATATCACCTTCCACATCAGTGATACTGAGAAGGAACAAATCTGCCAAAGATGCTTCACAGTTAGTTGTTACCTTTTTAAGAAGACTGTGCTTGAAAATTATGGTAAAACACATTTAGAAGAAGGATGTGCATTTTCACATCAGTCTATGAAGTATAACTTGACATTTAAATTAAAATGCTGTTCTTCAAAATTAATTTTTCCTGTTTTAATTCCAAGTTTTCTTGTACAGGGGAGAAGAGGTAAGGGGTAGCTCTAATGTGTTGGCTTCATTCACAGAAGAAACATTTTTATAAACAGTTAAGTGATGCCAGCTTTCTGTTGATGCCATCAGATCTTGCAAGCAAAAAATAAGTTAATTTCAATATCAGTTGATATTATTTCATTCAACCTATGTAATAAAGACTCTGTCTCCATTTTTGATGTCTGATTACTGCTGGCTTTTAAGTTTCAGCCCTCCCATTTCCTCTCTTGCTCCACATGTAGGCAAAGGGATAAAAAGCCCATTCCCTCCATCCTTTGACAGTAGGAGGAAGTTCAAAGCATGCAGATCTCTGTCAGTGCACTGCCCCTCACACATCTCAGCTCCCCTTTCTGACCACAGTAAAAATCAGAGCCACTCTACCCCTCTCTTTGCTGAGACCATTTTTACACCTGCTTGGAGCCTTTCCTATTCTCTCCAGAAAGTCTTATATGTGCAATAAATCTTTTCATATCCTTTTGGCATGTGTGTTATCTGCCTTACCACACAAACCAAATTTTGAGTTCAGCCTGCCAAAAGGAAATATTTTGAATGCTATTTTAAATTAAAATAATAATATTGAGATAGAAATTTATTTATATTAATAATACAAAGAAAAAGTTTTTGAAGAATTTTTTTGATATAAAACAATGATCTACTAAATTAGAAAGCTAAGGATTTCAGATTTTATAGAGAAACAGAGTGAATCTCATATACACATATATAAAATGTATATATATGTAATGTGTATATATGCATATATATACATACATATGTGTGTGTGTGTGTATATATATATATATATATAGAGAGAGAGAGAGAGAGAGAGAGAGATTTATTGCAAGTAATTGGCTTATATGATTATGGAGTCTGGCAAGTTCAAATCTATCCAGTGGGCTAGCAGGCTCAAAACCCAGGAAAGCCAATGGTGCAGTTACAGTCTGAAGACTGGCAAGCTGATGCTCACAAAGTGTCAATGGTACAGATTAAATTGAAAGGCAATCTGCTGAAGAATTTCCTCTTGTTGGGAGAGGCCAGTCTTTTTTTTTTTTTTTCTATTCAAGCCTTCATCTAATTGGATGAGGCTGAATCACATTATAGAGGTCAATCTGCTTTACCCAGAGTTCACTTATTTAAGTATTAATATCATCCCGGTACACCCTCCAAATTATTTCACACATAAATTTAGTTATCAGAGAGTGGAAATATAATTGGCATTGTTTGTAGTGCATACATAACTTATAATTGTTCTCCCCAAAGCCTGTGTTATGCTACTAATTGGCATATATATAAATTGTGTAAACATATCTAAATATGTTTGTATGTGTGTACATATTATAATTATAGTAATGGAATGATAAAACTTGTGAAACAGTTAAAAAAAAACCTCATTCTTCACTATGGAGTACAAGGTTTTTCTCTTTGCTTATGATTATAAATATTATTTTTTTAAGTTTTTAAAATTATTTATTTGAAAATGTTGATTGCATAATTTCCACTTTTCTTTAAAAAAATTATTTCCATAGGTTTTTGTGGAACAAATAGTGTTTGGTAACATGAGTAAGTTTTTTAGTGGTGATATGTGAGATTTTGGTGCACCCATCACCCAAGCTCCCAAACCCAATTTGTAGTTTTTTATTCCTCACCCCCTCCCACTCTTTTTCCTGAGTCCCCAAAGTCTGTTCTACATTCTTATGCCTTTGTATCCTCATAGTTTACCTCCCCCTTATAAGTAATAACATATGATGTTTGGTTTTCCATTCCTGAGTGACTTCACTTAGAATAATAATCTCCAGTTCCATCCAGGTTGCTGTGAATGCCATTAATTTGTTCCTTTTTAGTGCTGAGTAGTGTTCCATTGTGTATATGTGTGTATATATACACACACACACACACACACACATATATACATATACATATATATACATATACATATATATATACACACATATATATATCTCACAAATGCTTTATCCACTCACTGATTGATGGCCATTAGTGTTGGTTCCATATTTTGCAATTGCAAATTGTGCTGCTATTAACGTGTGTATGCAAGTATCTTTTTTTGTTTAATGACTTCTTTTCCTCCGGGTAGATACCTAGTAGTGAGATTGCTGGATCAAATGGTAGTTCTACTTTTAGTTCTTTAAGGAATCTCCACACTGTTTTCCATAGTGGTTGTACTAGTTTACATTACCATCAGTAGTGTAGAAGTGTTCCCTTTTTACCACATCCATGCCAACATCCGTTATTTGGATTTTTTGATTATGGCCATTGTTGCAGGAGTAGTTTGGTATCGCATTGTGGTTTTGATTTTCATTTCCCTGATGATTAGTGATGCTGAGCCTTTTTAAATATGTTTGTTGGCCATTTATATATCTGCTTTTCATAATTGTCTATTCATGTCATTAGCCCACTTTTTGATGGGGATATTTGTTTTTTTCTTCTTAATTTGTTTGAGTTGTTTGTAGATTCTGGATATTAGTCTTTTATTGGATGTATAGATTGCAAAGATTTTCTCTCACTCTGTTGGTTGTCTGTTTATTGTGCTGACTGTTCCTCTTGCTGGGCAGAAGCTCTTTAGTTTAAGTCCCGCCCATTTATCTTTGTTATTGTTGCATTTGCTTTTGAGTTCTTGGTCATGATGTCTTTGCCTATGCCAATGTCTAGAAAGGTTTTTCTGATGTTATCTTCTGGAATTTTTATAGTTTCAGGTCTTAGATTTAAGCCCTTGATTCATCTTCAATTGATTTTTGTATAAGGTGAGAGGTGAGGATACAGTTTCATTCTTCTACATGTGGCTTTCCAATTATCCCAGCACCATTTGTTGAATAGGATGTCCTTTCGCCACTTTATGTTTTTGTTTGCTTTGTTGAACATCAGTTGGCTGTAAGTTTTTGTTTGCTTTGTTGAACAACAGTTGGCTGTAAGTATTGGGTTTATTTCTGGGTTCTCTATTCTGTTTCATTCATCTGTGTGCCTGTTTTTATACCAGTACCATGCTGTTTCGGTGACTATTTCCTTATAGCATAGTTTGAAGTCAGGTAATGTGACACATTCAGATTTGTTCTTTTTTGATTGGACTTGCTTTAGCTATGTGGACTCTTTTTTTGGTTCCATATGAATTTTAGGATTGCTTTTTCTAGTTCTGTGAAAAATGATGGTGGTATTTTAATGGGAATTGCATTGAATTTGGCATTTTTGCAATATTGATTCTACCCATCCATGAACATGACATGTGTTTCCATTTGAGTCTTTGAAAAACTTATTAAATCACTCGGTGTGTCCCATCATATTTTAAATAAAGAATGTATTAAATTGTATTTGCATTTGTTCAGAAAATAATGGAAATCTTTCATTAAATTATTTTATAAATAGAATGGCCAAGTTTTTAAAAACTTAGCCTTTTGAAGACTTCAGTTAATTTCAAGTTTTTAACATAAAATTTTCCAAAGAAAGACCTCTTCCATGTTTCCCACAACCTAAACTCAGCAATCATCATTTTGATCCATGACATCCTCCATGCTTGGTTTATATACCACATGACAGGCACTGAAAAATTAGATGATGACTACTGAAATATGGTTAGAAGTTTTAATTTTAAATCATGTAATTATAATTTGAAATGTCAAATGATGGGATGAATCCTCAAATGGAATTTCTATTTTAACTGCATAAATACATATATTCTATATTGAAGTGGAACACGAAATTGCAAAGGAAAAAATTAAGCACAATGAAAACTTGGCCAAATATTTACACATTTTGTCTTGCAAAAGATTTCTAGAGATTCATTATTCTCAATGACAACATTAAACCAGTATATGTGAAAATATTTTACAGATAAGTAATTTAAGTATATCAATAATCTAATTAACTATAAAAAGCAACATTGATGAAGATTAAAAATTAGGAATAAGACAGTATCAAATATGTTTCTTTTCTGAGAAATACCAACCCATGAATATTAGCTAAAAATCTGATTAAAATATATAAGTATGCAGCAAATAATACTTATCTGGCTCTTTAATTTCTAAATACTAGATAATTTAGTTATATATTTTAAAGTTACGTAATTTTGAAATATATGTATATATACACATATACACATATATACATATACGTATATATACACATACACACATATATACACGTACGTCTATACACATATACACATATATACACATACATCTATACACATATACATATATACATATACGTCTATACACATATACACATATATACACGTACGTCTATACACATATACACATATATACACATACATCTATACACATATACATATATACATATACATCTATACACATATACACATATATACATGTACGTCTATACACATATACACATATATACATATACGTCTATACACATATACATATACGTCTATACACATATATATACATATACGTCTATACACATATACACATATATACATATACGTCTATACACATATACACATATATACATATACGTCTATACACATATACACATATATACATATACGTCTATACACATATACACATATATACATACACATCTATACATGTATGTATATACACACACATACATGTATGTATATACACACACATACATGTATGTATATACACACACATACATGTATGTATATACACACACATACATGTATGTATATACACACACATACATGTATGTATATACACACACATACATGTATGTATATACACACACATACATGTATGTATATACACACACATACATGTATGTATATACACACACATACATGTATGTATATACACACACATACATGTATGTATATACACACATACATGTATATACACACACATATGTATATACACACATATACATATATGTATATACACACATATACATATATGTATATACACACATATGTATATACACATATATACATATATGTATATACACACATATGTATATACACATATATGTATATACACATACATATATGTATATACACACTATAAATATAAATATGCACATATACACGTATTTATATGTGTGTATATATACATAAATGTGTATATATATGTATATATACATATATAAATATATAGATGATGAACACAATAGATTTTGCTTGGTAGATGGACTTATAAGAATAGTTCTAATCAAATTCATATCAAACATAAAATTTGTACTAAAACAAATCAGAAACCCCACATATTCCCATCTTTGCCTTATTAACTCTCACGCATCATTCAAGCCTCACTTCAAAGAGCTCTCGGATCCCCTTTGGGATCTCTTCCATGATTCTGTAAGCTGATCTAAGCACTCTCCAGGCCTGTTCTCCTGCTCTTACAACAATACAGTAAAATGATCACTGTACTGTTTCTCTCTTCAATAGATTAGGAAGCATTCAAAGTCAAAGACCTAAATTTATAACACTTTAAGTCATGTTTTAGGCATCAAATAGGTGCTTTTTAATTGAACTAAGCACATTTTTCTGGATGTAATTTTGTTTTCTTGGAAAATGATAGATAAATGTAGATATGGAAAGATGAAAAGGTGAAAATCCTTTTGCATTCAAGCTATGCTCCTGAGGAAAGTTATCGGATTCTGGCGTATGTCACTGATGAATAATGGACAATTTCATTGGCATGAAATTTTCTAAAGATAGTCCATGATCTTTGCACTGTTTCTCTCTCCAATAGATTAGGAAGCATTCAAAGTCAAAGACCTAAATTTATAACATTTTACTGCTATTGATATCAAAGTGCCATCTTTTGTCCTGTATAGAGACCATTGAATATTTGTAGGATATGTATAATGGTTTCTTATGACCATTGACAGTATCTGTCCCTATCCTCTGAAGGGCCCACAATTAGTGCCTTACTCTAGTGCTTATTCTGTTCAAGCTACTGGTGTACTTCCTGCTATTGATGACACCAGCTAGTCATGATGAGTAGGAGCAATGGACATGCAACTACAACTGCAGCATCTTCATTACAAGCTGTAGCTGAATCTTAAAAACCTAAGTGCTTTTCTTTCACAAAATGTGAATGTTTCTACAATACTCTATTATTATATGATCCCAACTGTCATTTCAACAAGACTAACCTTTTTTTTTCCAGGAATATTCAATGAAAGAGACCCTACAGTATATCAATGATACAACCATGGGAAAAATGAGCCTGCTATAATGAAATATTTCAACTAATTGAAATGACAATTTAAGTTTATTAGAACATAGCCTGTAGGAATCCTCATTTAAACATGTAATATCCTTATATGTCAAAATAATTTGCAAATGAAAAGGGCTTATGATGAACTCCTAAGCATATGGCTTATCTGAAGTAATATTTCAGATATGTGCTATTGGTTATAGTTTTGGGGAAAATGTATGACAGCCTTGTTCCTAGTGGAAAATAAAGTGGATGTTCTAAGAAAAGTGAACCAATAATATATTTATGAATGAATAATAGCATATTATGTGTGCACATATTAATAAGTTACACATTGGAGTGTATACAACTGAAGTTTTGTGACTTGAAGAATCAAACATCCTAAACCAACACTGTACCAAGGATTACAATTTATGCCTAACAGTGAGCTTTGACTGTAGACCATTTTTTTTTAGTTTACAGAATTAAAACATAATACAAGATTGTTACAAAGAATGTAGGATTTCTTCTAAAACACAGCATGTCCTCCTGCATCTGTGAAAAGTTTGGACTCATCATCCTGCTAGGTGTAATGAGACACTGAGTCATGCACAGGCGGAAATTTGTTTTTCCAAAAAAAAAAAAAAGATAAAATTTACGGAAAGACATTTTGGTTTTGGAGGACCAGTTGAATTGATTGGTAACCTTCTATGGCCTAAATAATAATCTGATGGTAGCCTGCCAAGGAGTATACTATGATATATAATTGATTCTCAAATAATAGATGTTATTTCATTTGTAATGCATTAAAATAAATAAAAAACTGTAATGTTCTAGAGGTATTTTCTCTGAATAGCAAATCATTAATTTACACATCTGTACATGTATTCTGAATATTAAGCCCTTTAACACCTGTATAGAACAAGGCAAGAATACAAATGGGATAGAATTAAATATTTGTATTGGCAAATATTTACATGATTATACAATATGACAAAGTTTTTAATAAATCTATAGATAAACCTGAGCCATTTAAAAATATTTGTCATGGATTGAGTGCTTTCTTTTATATAATATATTATCTCTTTTAATCTTAGCGGCCATAATAAGTTGAAATTATTGTATTATTTATAGATGCAAACACTTAAGTATTGAATTGGCAATTTAAACATAAATTTGTGTGATATGAAATTCATATTGGTAACCACTGTATCATACCATCCTATAGGAGGTTTCCTTCCTTTATGGAAAATGTAACTAGAACATGAAGCTAAATAATAATGAAGTCTGGTATGGTATATTTTATATATATTCTATATTGGTACTAATACTTAAACATTAGTATTTATGTTTAAGAATGGAATTTGAAGTAGTTATAAATTTATTTCTTCATTCTTAGATCAAATTAAGTCAAAATTTGTGACTTTGAGAAATTGAATCTCATATCACTGCATGTTTTATGTGGGATAAATATTCAAAAAGGTAATGAAACTTTTAATTTTCAATTAATGTTCATGTGTGTAAGTGCGACCTGAAAATTCTTGGACACATTTTGATTATGGGGATTGTATTAGTTCATTTCACACTGCTATAAATAACTATCTGAGACTGGATAATTTATAAACAAAAGAGGTTTCATTGACTTACAGTTCTGTATGGCTGGGGAGGCCTCAGGAAACTTACAATTATGGCACAAAGTGATGGAGAAGCAAGCAACTTCTTACATGGAGATGAGAGAGAGAGAATGAGGGGGAAACTGCCACAGACTTTTAATCCATCAGATCTCTTGAGAATAAACTCACAATCATGAGAACAGTATGGAGAAAACTGCCATCATTATCCAATCACCTCCCACCAAGTCTCTCCCTCAACACATGGGGATTACAATTTGAGATGAGATTTGGCTGGGGGTCACACAGCAACACCACATCAAGGGTATCAATATTTTATACCATGTAAAATAACTTTTTATATTGACTTTTCTGAACTGGTGAATTATTTCCTTTAAATAGTACAACATAAATTGCCAATTTACTAGTTTTGTGAGAGACTCTAGCTTCCAATGTCAAAATATAAGGGATCTAAAGAGGTGCCTCAATTAAAAAGGTCATTTATAAATTAAAGAAAATCTATAAATAAAGAAATGCTATTGTGTTTTTCTATGAAGACTACTAGATTACTGGACTGGGGAAATTTTATGGCAGAAAGTGAAGGAAAACTAAAAAGCAGAGAGCAAATGTGCTTTCAGATATTATACTCAAATATGGGAAATAGCAATCAGCAAAGTAAATTCTTATTTATGAATGAGTAGGTTTGAAAGATGCAATATACTGTGTAATATTGAAAACACTTTTTCCTATGTTACATTGTACAATGGGATACATTTTTCTTGTTTTACATTGTACAATGGGATACATTTTTCTTGTTTTACATTGTACAATGGGATACATTTTCTTTTTTAATTATTTGAGACGAATTTTCACTCTTGTTGCCCAGGCTGGAGTGCAATGGTGCGATCTTAACTCACTGCAACCTCCACCTCTTCAGTACAAGCGATTCTTCTGGTTCAGCCTCCTGAGTAGCTGGGATTACAGGCTCATGCCACCATGCCTGCCTAATTTTTGTATTTTTAGTAGAGATGGGATTTCATCATATTGGTCAGACTGGTCTCGAACTCCTGACCTCAGTTGATCCGCCTGCCTCTGCCTCCCAAAGTGCTGGGATTACAGGCATGAGACATCATGCCCGGCCAGGATACATGTTCTTATAAAAATCACCAAAATTACTGAGATAAAAATATCTCTAATATAAGTGAAACAAATCAAAGTGTCAAAAAGTTTACATAGTTTCATTTATTTTAAATTTCAAAGTGTGAGAAATACAACTAGCAGAATAAACAGGACACAAATAACAATATTTACTTCTAGGTAGTTAAAATGGTCATGACAAGGGTATTTTTTATTTTATAGTTTATTGCATTTGTGAACTATTGAAATAGTTTTGATATATTTGTAGTATAATCAATTTAGGGAAAACTGTTGATACTTAAATTTTAAAATAATATGGTAAAGATCATTGGAAATTATTAGAAGTTAACATATCAAAAAAAAAATTTGGAAGAGTCTTGCATCTGGCAAGGATATCATTATCCTGAACTTGAGGTAATTGCAGGATAAATTTCTGAGTAATCCATTACCTCCAGCCATGCTGAGAATTGAAATTTTAATAAAATCAATTTGATGACTCTTAAAAATGATCTTAAATCTACAAAATCCATCAAATATATTCACTTATTCAAAAATATATTAGGATTTTTAACACTACCTACTGGTAGGGTAAAATTTCTAGGCATTGTAATTGCCATTATTACCTGGCAGTATTCTTGGTATGTTTAGAATGTGACCTAAAAGATTACATCAACAAAACCAAAATGGCAGAAAAGAAACTGCTGTCTAAAATAAGGATACTTAGTACAAAGGAAAGATTCTAAAACATTATGACTGTAATTTACTTATTCCCTATTTGTATTGCTACCAATATGGCTGTATGTAGTTTGGATCTATCATAATTCCTGTATCTTTACATTTATTGATATTGATAATGCATTAATCTTTATATAAGCTTGTATATGTATGAGAAATAATTGAAAAGATACCCAAATTTGAAAGCAACTCTTTTTGTTTATTTGATAGCTTATTATAGAAATTATCATGTACTGAACTTATTTTCAAATCAAAACTTTTCAAAACAAAAATTTAAGGTTATAACAAATAGTAAAGCATATAGAGGTACACGGAGAGATATATGGAGAATTATTTGTCAACCAAGGCAATCCCAGATTTTCCAGGATAGTTGTTTTCTGTAACTATCATTCAGTTTATAGGACAGCCTGTGTTTAGGAATTTTTCCAAAATGTTCTAATCAATATAGCTACAGTAATAAGCTAGATTACTTTGAAGCTAACAAAAATTAAGGTTCAATGTTCTTTCCTTGCAATATGCTTATATGGCTACCTTTTTTTTTATCAGTAAGAGTTACAAAAGTAAGATGATTTTAATACCAAATGCATAAGATTTTCATCTATTTCCACTGTAACTTTCCATCCCAACAGCACTCCCTAGTGTTTATGGCCTTGTATTGATTACCAATATTTTCAGCTATAAATTAAGGAAAGTTTGATAAATTTCTGGTACGGAGAACTTGGGAGATATTTACATGGTTCACATGGTCACTTACGGTATCATTCCATTGCCCACACACTTTGGCTCTAGTATTGGCTTTTGCACAATGGAATCATAGAATGCCTTTGCAAATTTTGGCTATCCCAGCCATGATAGAACTGTCCTCTTACCCTCCTGGAAAAAAAAAAAAAAACAAGCTGGAGGAAAGTCTGATTCATTTTTCTATTTTCTTGTCAAATTAAGAGAAAATCAAGGTTATACAAATAAGTATTATGTGATTTCTGGATGCTTTTGAAGTACCCATTAGTCTTTTGATTTTAAAAATTTCATTCATTCATTTATTCTGAGATGGAGTTTTGCTCTTGTTGCCCAGGCTGGAGTGCAGTGGTGTGGTCTCAGCTCACTGCAACCTCTGCCTCCCTGGTTCAAGTGATTCTCCTGCCTCGGCCTCCCTATAGCTGGGATTACAGGCGCCCGCCACCATGCTCAGCTAACTTTTGTATTTTTAGTAAAGACGACGTTTTACCATGTGGGTCAGGCTGGTTTCGAACTCCTGACCTCACGTGATCCACCTGCCTCGGCCTCCTGAAGCGCTGGGATTACAGGCATGAGCCACCGCACCTGACCTGATTTTTAGAATTTAAAAATTATTGTAATTTATTTTCTCATTCCAATTAAAAAGGGCATAGGGTCAGTCAAGTCTACCTGGAGGCTAATATACCCACAGGAATTTATGTAACCCACCAGGAATATATTCTAATGTAAAATGTCTAAACCACTTTAGGCATGGAGTAGAGAAATGATTTACACATACTTCCCTGGGGTTTACTTCTTTATAAATGATTCATTATCCAGATCAAGGCACTAGACCCTAAGAGTAACAAAATTATTAATTATGTTCATGGATTATAGCAGTAAATATTAAAATAAAAGTGAATATTCTGTTTAAAATATATATTCCATAATGTTTTCATTTAACAAAACTGAATTCCCTGATTTTATTATATAATTTGATTGTTTTTCAATTCAATTATTTAAAATGAAAGAATAAACTCATAATATATTTTCTTTATATCTTTAGCCACAATCTCTTAAAACAGCAATTAAAATTTCATAATTGTTCTTTCTTCTTTTAAAAAAATGTCCTTAATAATGCTAGAAATGAACATATAAATGCAAAGTCTCTTAAGAATTAGCTTTCCCTTTTGTTATAAATTTCTGTGTCAAATAGAGTGAGCCTTTCCATTTTTTCCCCCTGAAGACTGATTTAAATTTCTAGAGAGAACGCTCTCTTCCTTGTGGCTTCTCACATTGACTTGGGACTTTTCCCCAAGGCAGGGTCTTTCTCTACAGGGAAATCTCACAGAATTTTTTCTAATCAGAAACTCTGTGAGTTGAGTTTCCTCTGTGAGAGGAAAAGTGATATGGGATACTCCAGGGAAATACTAGTTCTAAGGTTTTCTTTTCTTTCTTTTTTTTTTCTTTTAAAGAGAATCAATTCCTTCAAGGAAGTTTCAAAATGGAAGTGTTCCTATTAATAAATAAACACCACAAAATGAAAAGGAGAATTAGTGATGATTAGTGATGATATCGGCAGTTTGGTCATCAGAGACGTGAATGAGTATTCTGACTTGTATATTATCAATTTGTTTCTATCTATAAACTAGATAGTTACATATTTTACTTGCTTTGTTCTGTATAAATTCAGCCTCCACCAATTCAAAATGGGAACTTCCCAATAAATTTGAATACCCTCATAAAGCTACAGTATCCACAAAAATATATGTAATTCTTACCAGAAATACATGCTAAGATGTATTCTAAGTGATGACTAAATTATTTTAGCCATTAAACTTTCTGCATGCCAACGTTGCATGTAAATTTTAGCTACGCTGAGAAAACAATCTTCAAAGAAGTATTCTGAAAAAATATGTATTAGTCAATATTTGTGTCATTTAAACAGCGTTATAAATATTCCTTATTGAAGTATTTTGTATATTTGAATATAGAATTATTTTTGGAAAATATATCAAGTTCTTACACGTGGTTTAGAAAGGATTTTAAAACCTGGGCGTGGTGGCTTATGCCTGTAATCCCAGCACTTTGGGAGGCCGAGGCAGGTGGATCACGAGGTCGGGAGTTCAAGACCAGCCTGGCCAAGATGGTGAAACCCCGTCTCTACTAAAAGTACAAAAATTAGTCAGATGCGGTGGTGGGTGCCTGTAATCCTGGCTACTCGGGGGGCTGAAGCAGGAGAATTGCTTGAATTTGGGAGGCGGAGGTTGCAGTGAGCCAAGATCACACCACTGCACTCTAGCCTGGGTGACAGCAAGACTCTATCTCAAAAAAAAAAAAAAAAAAAAAGTGTTTCAAAACATAAAATAGAGTAAAAAATAGTTATTTGTATGCTTTCAATCACAAAAGAAAATTGATATTGGGAGTAGAAATGTCCTATCCAGTGTTACTTTAAAATAAAAGTCATAAAACACTATAAATTGGTAGTTGCCTATGTGTGTATTTTTAGTAATGACAAAAATCTAAAATCCTTAATATTCAATTTCTCATCATGTAATTGAATGTAATTGAATCTGTATTTTCAGTTGGCCATACTATATGTTAATTCTTATATACGTTCATATTTAAATTTCATATATATTATGTACTTTTTGTATAGGGATTTTAGGTTCTCTTTTTTCAATTAATCAAAATAATAATTTATACCTTTTCTTCAGATTTGTTTTGTGTTAGTCAACTACCTATTTCCTCTTGCTATAATTCCCCAGTTATATTAATAACAGTTACTGTGTATTTCTTCACAACTTTTTCCATGTTTATGCAGTTAAACAACACATCCAATTATATAGATTTCTTTGTGCATTACCAAAAAGAAAAGAAAATATCATAATATATTTATTTAAATATATATGTATGTTCAGGATTTTGCTTCAACATCTCCAAATAACATTACATTGTGAATACCAATGTTTTAGTAGATAGTAACTACAAATGTAACCCATTTTATGCAGTATTTGCACAACATTCTAAAACCTATTTAAATATTCTAGTAGTCTTAAATGTTCAAGTGGTTTCCAATATTTCCCAAATACAAAATTATGATAATAAACATAGTTTTGCATATAGCCTAGATAATAGTGCTTTGAATTTCATTGGCTTGATTCCTGAAAGAGGAAATATTCAATTCGGGAATTGTTTACGTTTATATAGGTATTAACAGATTGCATTCTCAAAAGACTGTAGGAATTCATAATTCCTACAGAAACATAGAGTGCATTCCCCCTTCATTTCTATGGGAATCCTGATGAAGTATTTTCATTCTTTTTAATTTTACTTAGTCTAATATGAAAAGAGCATATCACTTATCAATTAATTTGCATTTTCTTTCAGTAATGATTTATTGCTTGGTTTATGTGTGTACCATTCATAAATTGGGTTCAATTTCCTACCAATCTTTAATATTTTATTGGACACTTGTAAGAATTACTGGTATAAGACATATGACCTATTGTCTGTCATATATGCTACAAATATTTTCCCTGGTTTTTATTGTCTTAACGTTTAATTAAAAAAGAAATTAAAGCATACATTATGCAGTATATCTTTTATCCAATTAAGACATGTCATGAAATATAACTATGTTTTATTGCATAGATTCTTTGTTTCTGATTTTGCCTTGAATGTTCATCCTATATTAAAAAAACAAATTATGTTTTATAGTTTTATTGCTCTACACTTGTGATTTTTTTACCAGCTATTATTTTATCAATAAATTTAAATGCCATGTTTCCTTGATTAAGTTACAGTATATATTTGATATCTATGTAATTTTTCAAACTCCTTATAGACTTACATAAATGTCTGATGTCTGTATTTATGTGTGTATGTATTTCTGTGCTAGTACTCTACAAACTACTCTATATAGGACTATTGCTAAAGTACAAGATATATGTTTTAATTTCCACTGCTATCCATATCATTTATAATTTTGGTAGCTATAAGTTACTGATTTTGTGGACTTTTTCTTGTTTCAAGTAGTCGTACCAAATTCTATTGTATATTATAGCATTGTTTATGTAAAATATGTTACATATAAATAAATATAAACATATATTTAAAAATAAATACATAAATATTTCAAATACAAATATATATACATCTAATACCATGCCTTGTCTAGGTATTCGATCATATAGTATACAGTATGAATAAGTTTTGCTATTTTATTTCAAAGTTTATAAGAATATTCATGTCTTCTTATTAAAAAATTGAAAGATAATAGTGACAGAGGCTTTCCCTGCTTTCTTTCCTGATTTTAAAAGCATGAATTAACAGCATTACACTTTACAAAACGTAAATATAAATTAATACTGTTTTTTTTCAAAAAAAAACAAATTGAATTTGTCACATAATCATAGCCTTTATGTCCTTCCATTTTGATGATCCACAAGTGATGCTATAGGTTGGTTAAGTCACTGTTTTAAATCTTTGGAGATTTGTGATGTTAAGTTATTTTTATATATTCATAGAAGTTTTATTGCTTTTCCCTCATTTTGCTATTTCCAGAAATCTTTGTAAAATAATACTAGAAATGTACTGTTATTTTTCCACCAAAAATGTGATGTAACATTAACAATAGAAAGCTGATTACTGCTCCCCAAACAAAAGCATTGTAACATTAAAATTTTGACTCTTCTTTTTATATTTCTAAAGTATTATAGGAATGGTGAGTATTACTTACTGAAATAGTAAAAATAAAACTGAAGCCAGTGGAACATATAAGTATATACAGTTACTGGCAAAAATATTGCTAAAGTGTTTCTCTAAAAATAGTAGATGCAAAAATTAGCCAAGGAAAGCATATATGTAATAGAATCAATTTAAAAGAATCAATAATAGCCTCAATGGCATTTTTACTTATCACTAATAATATTAGTTTTTATCACTAACAAAACTTGTATTGAGATGAATACCGTAGTTGATACATTTATGGTGATAACAACTGATCCTCATAACAATAAGTCACAAAATTAAATAGAAAAATGTGAAAAGCAAGGACATTATCTGGGAACTTTTACTTAGAATTAATATGTGTGTTCTTTACAGTCAATTTTTTCATTTATTAATGAAAATTGATATAATTCTAATTACGATGTTTTGCTTTTCTAGAAGTTAAGCCTTCATCAAGATGAAAATGGTGGAGATCCCTAGTTATAAACAGAATCACATTATCTTAAAACCTTCCAAGTGATAGGTCATATATTATTATGAATCTCTCTCCTGTTGGGGAAAACACATTTAGAAAAGTAAGCACATTACCAGTTATGCTACATTTTGTAAGCTGCTTTTAGAAGTTGGTAGTTACTTTTCAAAAGATTTATCACTTTAACAATATAATATATATAGGTAAGTATGTATATATAATATTTATATATCTATCTAGCCATCCAACTATCACCTGTCTATCTAGAGAGAGACAGAGAATATGGTGTTAAAAGGAAAATTTACAACAAATTAAATTTAGCAGCAAGTTTTAAAATTTGACTTTTATTCTAAGTTCAGGGGTACATATGCAAGTTTGTTATATAGGTAAATTCGTGTTGTGGAGGCTTGTTGAACATATTATTTCATCAGCCATGTATTAAGCTTAGTACCTATTAGTTATTTATACTGCTCCTCTCTTCCTCCCACCCTGCACCCTCGAATAGGCCCCAGTGTGTGTTGTTCTTCTCTGTGTCCATGTGTTCCCATCATTTAGCTCCCACTTAGAGGTGAGAAGATGTGATTTCCTGTTCCTTTAGTTTAGAAGTGAGAAGATGTGATTTTCTGTTCTGCTAGTTTTCTAAGGGTAATGGCCTCCAGCTCCATCCATGTCCCTGCAAAAGACATGATTCCATTAAATTTTACGGCTGCATAGTATTCCATGGTGCATATGTACCACATTTTCCTTGTTCAGTCTACCACTGATGGGCACTTAGGTTGATTCCATGTCTTCGCTATTGTGAATAGTACTGCAATGAACATATGTGTGTGCATGTCTTTATAACAGAACTATTCATATTCCTTTGGGTATCTACAAATACCAAATCATGGGATTGCTGGGTCAAATGGTATTTCGATTTTTAAGGTCTTTGAGGAATTGCCACACTGTCTTCCACAATGGTTGAAGCTAATTTGCACTCTCACCTACGGTGTATAAGTGTTCCTTTCTCTTCACAACCTCACCAGCATCTGTTGTTTCTTGACTTTTTAATAATCGCCATTCTGACTGGTATGAGATGATATCTCATTGTGGTTTTATTTGAATTTCTCTAATAATCAGTGATGTGGAGCTTTTTTTCATATGTTTCTTGGTTGCATGAATGTCTTCTTTTGAGAAATGTCTGTTCATGTCCTTTGAATGCTTTTATATGGGTTTTTTTTTCTCATAAATTTGTTTAAGTTCCTTATAAATGCTGGATATTAGACCTTTGTCAAATGCATAGTTTCGAAAAATTTTTTCCCATTATATGTTGTCTGTTCACTCTGCTGATAGCTTCCTTTGCAGTGTAGAAGCTCTTTAGCTTAATTAAATCCCATTTTTCAATTTCTGCTTTTGTTGCAATTGCTTTTGGCATGTTTGTCATAAATCTTTGCCCATTCCTATATCCAGAATGGTATTGTCTAGGCTCTCTTCTAGGATGTGTATAGTTTTGGATTTTACATTTAAGTCTTTAATCCATCTTGAGTTGATTTGTGTATATGGTGTAAGGAAGGGGTCCAGCTTCAATCTTCTGCATGTGGTGAGCTAGTTATGTCAGCACCATTTATTGAGTAGAAAATCTCTTTTCCATTGCTTGTTTGGTGACCTTATTCTGGGTTCTCTACTCTATTCCATTGGTCTATGTGTCTGTTTTTGTACCAGTACTGTGCTGTTTTGGTTACTGTAGCCCTGTAGCATAGTTTGAAGTCAGGTAGCATGCTGCCTCCAGCTTCATTCTTTTTGCTTAGGATTGCCCTGGCTATTCATGCTCTTTTTGGTTACAAATGAATTTAATTTTTTTTCTCATTCTGTGAAGAATGTCAATGGTAGTTTAATAGGAATAGCATCAAATCTATAAAATGCTTTTGGCAGTATGGCCATTTTAACAATATTGATTCTTCCTATCCATGAGCATGGAATGTTTTTCCATTTGTTTGTGACATTTATGACTCATTTGAGCAGTGTTTTGTCATTCTCCTGTAGAGATCCTTCACCTCCCTCGTTAGCTGTATTCCTAGTTATTGTATTCGTCCTTGTGGCAATTGTGAATGAGATAGCGTTCCTGATTTGGTTGGTAGGCTATTTATTATTAAGTCAGTTTTAGAGCATGTTGTTGCTCTTGGCTTGACTGTGGTTTGTGTATAGGAATGTTAGTGATTTTTGAACATTGACTTTTGTATCCTGAAATTTTGCTCAAGTTGTTTATCTGCTAAAGGAGCTTTTGGGCTGAGACTGTGGGGTTTTCTATATATAGAATTCTGTCATCTGCAAAAGGAATAGTTTGACTTTCTCTCATCCTATTTGGATGCCCTTTATTTCTTTATTTTGCCCAATTGCCCTGGCCAGAATTTCCAATACTGTGTTGAATAGGAGTAGTGAGAGATGGCATCCTTGTCTTGTCCTAATTTTCAAGGGGAATGCCTCCAGCTTTTGCCTATTCAGTATAATTTTGGCTGGGTGTTTGTCATAGTTTGCTTGTATTGTTTTGATGTATATTCCTTAAATACCTAGTTTATTGAATGTTTCTAACGTGAAGGAGTGCTGAATTTTATCAAAAGCCCTTTTTGCATCTATTGAGATGATCATATAGTTTGGGGCTTTGGTTTTGTTTACATGATGAATCATATTTATTGATTTTGGTATGTTGAACAAACATGGCATCCCAGGATAAAGCCTACTTGATCATGGTGGATAATCTTTTAGATGTGCTGCTGGATTCAGTTTGCCAGTATTTTGTTGAGGATTTTTTGCATTGATGTTCATCAAGGATATTGGCCTGAAGTTTTCTTTTTTTGTTGTGTCTCTGCCAGGCTTTAGTATCAGGATGATAGTTAACAACCTAACATCACAGAAAAAAAAGAAGAGAACCAAGAGCAAACAAATCCCAGAGCTAGTTAGGAGACAGGAAATAACCAAAAGCCCAGCTGAACTGAATGAGACTGAGCACAAAAAGCCATTCAAAAGATCAACACATCCATGAACTGTTTATTTTTGTAAAAATTAATAAAATATATAGACCACTAGTTAGAATAATAAAGAAGAAAAGAGAGAAGATTCAAATAAACACAATCAAAAACGACATTGGGGATATTACCACTGACACCACAGAAATACAAACAACCATCAGAGAATATTATGAACACCTATGTACATAAACTAGAAAATCTAAAAGAAATAGTTAAATTCCTGGACACATACAATAAATGCACCCTCCCAAGACAGAACCAGGAGGAAATTCAATCTCTGAACAGACCAATAACACACTCTAAACCTGAGTTAGTAATAAATAGCCTACCAAACAAACAAACAAAAAAAAAGCCCAGGACCAGATGGATTCACAGCTAAATTCTACCAGATGTACCAAGAAGAACTGGTACCATTCCTGCTAAAATTATTCCAAAAAATTGAGGAGGAGGGACTTCTCCCTAACTCATTTTATGAGGCTGTTACTTTTAGTAACGGAAGAATAAATATTCTCTGAGAAACATCCTCAGGTCCTCAGGAGTACACCAACACAGTTAGGTTCATTCTTTTGGGTTTTTTTGTTTTGTTTTGTTTTGTTTTGAGACCAGGTTTAGTTCTGTCACCCAGGCTGGAGTGCAGTAGCGCAATCATGACTCACTGCAGCCTTGAACTCCTAAGCTCAAGGGATGCTCCCACCTCAGCCTCCCTAGCAACTGAGAGTACAGAAGCCTGCCACTATACCCTTTAAATGCTTTTAGAGATGTGACATTGCTAACATTGGTCATGTTACCTAAAATTTGTCCATGTACATGTGACATAGTCCACAGCTTGATATTCAAACTTCATGTCTTAAAACTACTCTGTGCATGCAAGCTTTTCCAGTATTATTCCCTTTATAACACCTTTGCCCCAGGAAGAACAGATTTCACTGCTTCTTAAATAGGTCCTGCTTCTTCCTACCTCTATACCATTTCTTTCACCTAAGTGCTCTTTACTTTCACCTCCTCCTTAAAAAATGTTTCCCTTCTTTTCAGGATTAGCTCATGCTCCATCTTCTCTAAGAAAATGAACTAAACAAACTAACATAAAATATTTTCTATAATGTGTTATTTGTGCTTATGGCCTATTGGTTCTTAATATATTTTAGCACCTTGATAGCCTCAGCTGTATCTCAGATGTCTTTATATTCATTAATTTATCTAAAATAATGTCTTGTAGAATAAGCCAAATGGGGAGGAAATGATTGCATGCATAAATGATGCTAACTGAACTGATGGCAAGACATGCAGAGGAAAGTGCCATCAGCAGAGAAAGGAAAATTTTCTTCCTTTTATAGAGCCCGGCTGCAGAGTACATTATTGCCCATTCTGGAGGGTAGATGTATATTTGCTATATTTAATTTTAGCCTTGCTTTTCTCCTGTTTTCACTGGATAGTCAAGAGAAGTGGATCATAGGTTTATTTATAGTAATGGCTATGCCATCCCTAGGCAGAATGTTTTATGATTTTTAAAGTGCTTTTTATATATATTACAATTTTGGATCCTCACAACAAACTTGTGAATTAGGGACAGCAGCAGTTTCTGGTCCATTTTTATCAGGTATTATAGGAAACAATTTTAGCCACAAGTTCAATATAGCTATTCGTTCAAATAGACTATGTATTGAAAAGGCTGCTTTATCTTTTGATTTTAAAAGATGCTTTCTGTGGCTTTAGTTACAAATCAAAATATGCTTTTTAAAAAACTTGCATAAATATGCACTAACTTAGAATTCTCTATTCATTTTTTTAGCCCAAGAGTAGCAATAGGTCTAGACAAATTAGAGATCCAAGAAGTAGAAATGAAGGGAATAAATTAATGCCGGCATTGATAAATGAAGGGGAGAGCAAATAAATTTCGTTGTGCAGCTTGATCGAACAACTTTGTTTGCAACAATATTTGTAAGGTCAGGGAATTATTGTTTAGAATGTACTTGAGAATTAAAAAGATAATAACATTGATTCTTCATCTTCTGGATTCTCGGCAAATGAATTTTAAATCTGCAGATGTAGAGCTCAGATATTCCTGTGATGTCATCTCTATCTCCTAAAGAAACACAAGATGGGCAGATATATTGATACTTTAAAATGGTGCTTCTTTTATCTTTCCAGAATACTGTTTAGAACATAAGTAATTGCATAAGGTCCCAAATGTTTGTTAACATGGATGGGCAATTCTTTATTGAAACAGAGCATAGACTCTGTTCAGATGGAAATATGTGAAGGCATATTTCTTTCTTCTAAAGCAACAGCAAACGTGCTGATGTGTTTTGTTGGGGCCTAAGGGGTAATGGTGTTAAGAAAGGATAAATGTAGATAAATTCTTGGTGCGCAATTGCAACTTTCAACAGATTGTGTGATTTTACTTAGAATGTTAATGGTTAAAAAGGAAACCTGGGTTTATTTTTTCTATTTTCTTTTCCCAAGGCGTTTTACAGTGATATCATATCACCCTCTCTGCTGAGATCTCCAAAAACTTACTAGATATGATAACTGTTGTATGCCTTTAATTTAAGTTCATATTATTTCCCCTGGGAAATTTTAGAAATGCTGGGGAGAATGTTTGGAAATGGATTAAAAAAAAAAATCTGGTAGAAGGAAACTCAGAAGGAAAAAACAAATGACTTCTTATACATACGCCTTTTTTGATTCTTAAAATTCCAGTAATAATCTTGTTTATATTCACTCTCAGAACCCAATAATAGGAAACTTTTTGACCTTACATTAGCTACAAAGTTGAAATTTTAAAAATCTCTCCTTGAAACTTTGTTTTCACTTTTCTATTTTATTGAAACATTCAGGAGCACAGTTTCTTACTCAAGAGTAAGAGGTTCAAAATTTCTCTCTTCTTTTTTATTTATTTCTTCAGAAGTAAGTGAATTAATGAGCATTAATCATAAATTCTGTGTAAGAGATTTGTGTATAAACAACTGCCATTTTTAAACTACTATATATATCAATTTTAAAATATTTTAAATAAAATTAGAATTTTGCTCTTTAAAATATGAGAAGTATTCTATCACTTTCCAATGAATTATTTTCTTTTTTTATTCTTATGGTAAGCCAACGTATGTCATGAATGATCTTTAAGATTTTCGCACCACTTATTAAAGGTATTATCTAGTATAATGCCTAATGAGGTTTTCTATATAATACACGTAGTGTTTCTTCGATGCTTATTATTATTATTATTATTATTATTATTATTATTATTGAGACAGAGTCTCGCTCCATTGCCAGACTGCAGTGCAGTGGCGCGATCTCAGCTCACTGCAACCTCCACCTCCCAGGTTCAAGTGATTGTCCTGACTCAGCTTCCTGAGTAGCTGGGACTACAGGCATGCGCCACCACGCCCAGCTAATTTTTGTATTTTTAGTAGAGACTGGGCTTCACCATGTTGGCCAGGGTGGTCTCGACCTCTTTTTTTTTTTTTTTTTTTTTTTTTTTTTTTTAGACGAAGTCTCGGTCTCTCACCCAGGCTGGAGTGCCGTGGCTCAATCTCTGATCACTGCAAGCTCCACCTCCCGGGTTCACGCCATTCTCCTGCCTCAGCCTCCCGAGTAGCTGGGACTACAAGAATCCGCCACCACGCCCGGATGATTTTTTGTATTTTTAGTGGAGATGGGGTTTCACCGTGTTAGCTAGGATGGTCTCGATCTCCTGACCTCATGATCCACCCGCGTCGGCCTCCCAAAGTGCTGGGATTACAGGCGTGAGCCACCGGCCCGGCTTGGTCTCGACCCCTTGACCTCGTGATCTGCCTATCTTGGCCTCTCAAAGTGCTGGGACTATAGGAGTGATTCACCACGCCTGGCCCAATGCTTATTATTTATCATGCTTTCCACTTACCAATTTATACAAATCTGCATGTATAAATTTTCATAACCACTGTATGATGTAGGTTCTCTTACTATTCTCAAGTTAGAATTAAGAAAACCAACAGAGAGAGAGATTTAAAACCTTGCTTCAGAACCAGAATTTAACTCCAAACAGCCTTGTTCAAAGACCCTAATCTCAACCACTGCCCTGCTGCTGAGGCTGCATAGTGCTACAAGTTATAAACTACATTTTTACACTATTCATATGCATGTTTTAAATGTAAATATTGTACTTTGTGTCAAAGGTTTAAATATTAAGATATGTAGCTAGACATAATAGTATTTTTTTATTGCTTTAGGACTTTTTTCTCTAATTTTTCCCTTCAATTTCAATAAGGCAAGAGGTTTAGCTTGTACTATTTACCTCCATATTCTTTCAGTACTTTATGTTTCTTCCATCTGCTTACCTTTTCCTTTTTTTTTTTTTTTTTTTTTGTATCTCAGAAAAACTGTAAATTGAAAGGTTGGGCTAGGAGTCTGGATGTTAGGGAGTGCGATCAGATTTGGGAGTAATCATCTTCCTTATGTGCATGCACTGTTAATTCATACTCTTCATGAGGTTATTCCAATATTCTTGATCCTGTATTCAAGTGAAGGTGTTATATAATTGTAGAGGTAGAAAATTAATTAACTAGTTCTTATAGAGAATGGAATTCCGAGCAGTTCTTCAGAAAGAACAGATTACATATTTTTTATTGTAGGCAGTAGAATGCTGAGACAGAGCTTTACAAACTTCTGGGGTATCCTTAGGGGAATCCCCTTGAATATCCTCATAGGAAACCTAGATCACATACCCATTCCACCTTCTGCCTAAGTTTTTGCTCATAGTATTTCTATCCCTGGGACATGGCACCAAAGAGGAGCTCTGGAACCTCTGCGTACACTAGATATGGGATTAAGTTAGTTTGTTCTCATTTAGACTTGTTCTCTAGCTGTTGAATTTCATTTAGGAATCACTACTTCTGTGTGCTTTTTATCAAAAAAGACCAGAGTGCTTCCTTTCAACCATCTTGCCAGGCTACTTTTCCCTGACAATATGGCATATTTTTGGTGTCTAATATTGTGTGACAAAAAGAAAGTGATGACTTTACTATTTTTTTTAGAATTTAACACAGTGCTTAACATACAACAGATGCTAACTAACTTTGGTAAGTAAAAGAAATATCACGAAGAATGAAAAACAATTTTTGGAAAAACTTAAGATTTTGTTTTTGTTATTGTTGCTGTTGTTGTTGTTGGGGTCAAGGTCTCACTTTGTCACCCAGGTTAGAGTGCAGTGGCATGATGGCATGACCATGGCTCACAGCAGCCTCAATCATCTGGGCTCAAGCAAACCTCCCACCTCAGCCTCATCTGTAACTAAGACTACAGGTTCATGCCACCAAAAATTAAGATATATGGCAAAATGAAAATTGCTTTACCTTTTGTCTCTTGGAGGACATAGTTATCATGTTTCCTCAAGAAAACTGTTGTTCTAAAGATTATTTTAAAAATGTACTTGAATCCGTTAAAAGATAATGTAGAGAAATTTTAGTGTGCACAACTGCCTGCGTTTTGAAAAAAGTCATTGATGTATTGGAGTATATGCAGATTAGTCTACATGATTTTTGTCTGAAAGGAATAAACATTGAGTAATATAATAATTCTACATCTTTGATAAATATTTAAATAAATCTGTTATTAAACTCTCCAAGGCATTTGTAGTTTCACCAGAAGGGTATGGCATCTTGATTATACTTGTCAGGATGGTCCTTAGACTTCAACAATCTATATCTAACAAAAGTCGAAAAGCCATTTTCTTGGAATGGATTTTTTAAGGAAAGTTTGGAAATTACCGTACCTCACGCCATAAAGCATACATAAATACTGAAATGTCTAAGTGAATATTAAAATGTTAAATGTTAAAATTAAAAGAAAGCTCAGACTGTTCTGTCATGAGTGAGTAGTACCTCTGCATTAAGGAATGTTGATAAACTTTATTAGGAGATGTTTCAGGGGCTTCTCTTTACTGAATCAGATCTAGATTCTCTTCTATAAATGTCAAATCTATCTTGTCTAGCACTGCTTGTATTAGATTGCTACCTTTTTACTTGAGGGACTTGTATCTATTTAACTTTCTTCCTCCTGTCTGCACAATGTTGGCTGATAACATTATGGCTGAGTTTCATGAATTTTGGTTCATGCTACAATCTTCCTCTCCACGATATTGTAGCCTTAACATTTGATTTTGCCTTGATTTCAAAAACTCTCTGGAATATTTACTCTCATGGGCTTCAGTAGTAATATTATAAGCCTGTTTAGTTAAAAAAAAGGATACTTTCTGCCTTAAATACAAACTAGAAATGGATTTACCATTATTAATCTTTTTTCAATCTAATGATTTAACAAGAATAAGTTTCCTTGCAAAGAATAGCTCAGAACTATGGTAATGGTGGTACCATAATATTACTTTGTATCCAGTATTATTATATAAATGGCACTGGCTTCCACTCATTTGACATTTCTACATGACATCAAGATTACATGAAATCTAAAAATGTAATTAAATTGTGTATTTTCATAAGTAATGTTGTCACAAGATCCTTGGGGTGTTGCTATTCCAGATGGAAACATCTGTGGCCAGTGGCACCTTTGCCTGCATTTTGCTTGGGTCTGCTGAGCTCGTTTCACCCACTCCGCCTGGCAGGCTGCACTTGGCTCACACTACTGGCTTGGATCTCAAGTGTGGGATCTGGCCACTGTGCATAGCCAGGCATGCCAATTATGGCAGGGTGAGCAGCTCCAGGTGCCAGCACAGGTGCCAGCTCCCTGTGAGACTGTAGCTGGACCAGGTGTGCCACAAGCAGCTTCCATGGCAGGCACCAGGGAACATGGTGGCAGCCAGAAGCTTTCAGATGCCAGGAACTGCAGAGCCCCCAAAAGGATGTAACAGCCCTGGCTTGGGGTGCTTCTAGGTCTGGCTAGGAGAGCCACAGCTTTTCTCTTCTTCTCTCCTTTCTCCTTCTTGTTGCCCACAACATGGCAAGCAAGCGGTATGTTTCAGCTTAGTTTGTGTTATTGTTCTTTCAGCCCTGCCATTCGGTGGTTTCCAATTTCTTGTCCCCTATCCAGGAAGAATGAGGTATGCAGACAAGTGGAGGGTCAGCACGGTGAAGAGGTGCTTTATTAAGTGACAGAAAAGCTCAGAGGAGACACACAGTGTGTAGCTCCTCTCCAAAGGAAGGTTGTCCCCATGAGTGTTCAGCTCTCAGCAGAGAGGAGACCCACAGTGAGTAGCTCCTCTCTGCAGGCAGATCATCCCACTGTCTGCTCAGCTTTCAGCTGAGAGGAGATCCACAGTACGTGTCTCCTCTCTGCAGGCAGGTTGTCCCATCATCTATCTGAGTGTGGGATTTTTATGGGCTTCAGAGGGGAGGAAGCGTGTGCTGATTGGTCCATGGGTGGCCATGGGGGTGCCAAGAAAAGGCATCATTAAGTTCTCACTCCAGTCAGAAGAAATAGCAGCTCAGCCTTCAGAACTCAGGCCCTCTCTGGCCTGAAGGTGGAGCTTCAATGGGGACACACTCCTTTCTGCTCAGGAGCCTGTCTGCCTTCTGCCACAAACAACCTGCCATCCACCTGCATTCACGGTGCCTTGGGCACCCAGGCCGTTCATGCTGAGGAGCGCCTGCAGCCCTGCACCGAGCTGCACTTGCCCCCCTTCAGCCTCCAACCCATGCTCATTGGCTCCCAAAGTCTGCAGGAGGCCAAGGCAGCAGGGGGCTGGTGTGTCAGTGCTGCCCCGAACGTGTGCACACCCAGCTAGGTTGTGACAGTGCCTGGGCTCTACGACAACTTTGCTCTGAAATTGGAGCAGGCACTGGGAGCCAGGAGAGGCCAGGCAGTGGGAACAGGCACTTCTGAGCCTGCTGGTACAGGGGGTTTTCCAGGGCCCCAAGAGTGCAGAGATGCCCAATCTGCCACTGCAACTGGGCAGCCGCAGCTGGGCCCAGGAGGGCGGGGCTCCCATCTTTCCAACTTGGAAGTGAATGTGACTGTTTCTGGCTCCTGTAGGCTTCTTGGAGCATGCAGCCCTGGCCATGCCTCCCAAACTGCAGCTGGTATCATAGCAGTGAGTGCTCCAAATGGGCTGCCACTGCCATAAATATTAACAACATGGATATGTGGAAATACAGAAAAAAATGCCTCTCCTTCCTTTCTTTTTTTTATGATCAAACTATCAGCAAGAACATATAACAAGTTTTCATTGTGAAGCTAGCATATGTTTTACAAATAGTAACATTATGTTTTGAATAATGGAAAATCCTAGGGGATGATTTTTTTTTGACACCGAAATCACCATTTCTTAACTAGCTTAAAACAGGAATCAAAGTATATTATTACGTGTTGGCCTTTATATCAACCAATGAATTGATAAAGTTGTCTGACAAAATTATTTGACCATGTCAAATAGTAGTTTTACTATTACTTTATTGTATGAGAGTGGTAAGTAGCATTTTAAGATTGCAAAAGAAAATCACCATTATGTGTGTTGCGTTTTTAAATTTTCATCTTAGACCACACTACTGTATGGATTGTAAAAAAAAGTGATGCCAAGAAACAAAATTTGTATAATCATCATGCTGCTGAGAAACAGGTTCTTATCTGGAGTTTATCTTTAAAATATTTAATATTTATTATTTGAAGCTATTTGAAATTTTTGCTTTACTCATACCACTCTCTAAAATATTGTATTATAAATATCCTTAAAATGTTTTCTATATATATTAACAAATATGTATTACTTTGCTATGTGTTAAATGTAACTGAAAGGAAAATGGAGTAAAACCTATTCTTGAGTTTTATTTTATATGAAATCAGCAATATTTCTCCCATTTTTAGCTCTTTTCATCAGTTGATCAATTTCGGAAAGTGCTTTTCTTCCGTACGCATTTAAGAATGATGGGAAGTACTGAATATCATAGTGTGAATACCTTTTACTCTTAGGTATGATGAAAAAATTGATTTTTACTTGTCCTAAACATTCCAAAAGTTGTTAATACTTTCTAAAACAAAAGTTGAAGTGATAACTAAGAAATTCTGTTAGAATTTCAAAAACCAAATGCATTAAAAACTGTCATTGTGTAATATTGAGGTTAGAAAATTACAGTCCATAAATATTATATTCTTAAGTAACAAGTCAAATTTAACTAAAAATTGCACACAGATTTTGGGCAACACTTTTAATAAATATGTTTTCTTTTTTACATTTCTTCAGTAGTGTTTTCTGTATATGGAGTATAAATATTTCCAAGCTTTTATAATAAACTGTAATCAAAAAGGTGTTAGAGGATATTACCTCCATTAGCTCAGTAGCTTTATATATAGGGCATTTCTGAGCTTCTGATGTACCCAATAGAAAATCATATCTTGGTAGATTCATAGTTTCCAAAATGGTTAGTATAGGATTTATTCAAATATGAGATGTAATACTATATCAACCTGTAGTGAATGCTTATAATTTTATGTTGCCTCGGCATCCATTTTTAAATATGTTTCACTTCCTCATACCAGACTCAGGACTCAGCCACCCTTGGCACAGTTTCCAATGCTATACCCGCCAGAATGGCTTTAACTGTGGCCAGAGAGAAAACATAATGGTTTCTCTCCCACCTAGCAAGCTGTACTCCCCACTTTCTCACAGCAGCTGTATTTAAAGTGACCATTCAGACATTTGCCTATGAACTTAAAAGTGGCCACCTCTCACTCACAGTGTGGCCTCCTGGAATCTCACCCCTGGCAGTGAGATACCCCGGAGAAGACTCATTCAAGGGCATCCTGGCTGGTGCTCTTTTGCCCGAGGTCTAAGCCTCTCAGCTGCTGAGATAGAGATTTTACTCAAAACAACCTCACAAGGGTAACAATGTTTATGAAAAGGATATATAAACAGAAAAATCGGACTGTAAATTTCACTTTATCATCAGGTTATCTATTCCCTTTTGTGGTCCAGTTTTCACTGATTATAACACTCCCATATGAAATGTAAGAGAAAGATTCACAGAGGTGATGTTTCCCTTTTGTGGTCCAGTTTTCACTGATTATAACACTCCCATATGAAATGTAAGAGAAAGATTCACAGAGGTGATGTTTCTTACCTAAAGTTCAGAGAGATTGGATTACTTACCTAAAGTTATCAGTAGCATAAACATTTGAATATTATTATTGTTTTTGAGTCACAGAGCTAGGATTTTAAAAGTAGCTCTTGCAAAAGCAAAATTTGGTTAGGGAAAGTAGTTGAGAAGCAGGTATATCTCTCAAGGGGGACTGAATGTGGATAATAGTCTGTATAAGAAAGGAATTGTTCTGTTTCATCAAAGAGTGATGACAGTAGGAAAATAGGGCATGAATTAAGGAAAGTTTGGGGAGGCTGAAGACAGACAGTTGTGTAAAGATTTCAGCCATCTTACGGTACCTTCCCATTGCAGGATGTGTGTGTGTGTGTGTGTGTGTGTGTGTTATGTGTATGTGTGTTAACCTGTGAAGAGGCTCAGCTAGGCACCTAGAATGACATGGGCAAAACCTAAGGAAGCAATGATAGTGTTCTAGTAATTACATGAATTCCTACAGGTATAAGAGGCCTCCCTGCTCAGTAAAATAGGAAAAAATTCAGGCTGAAGTCACTGGGAATAGAGAAGGTCTCTCAATTTTCCATTTACAAGCCAGTTTTGCTATAATTTAAACATTAATTCAGTTACTTCTCATATATTTTCTTATCTATTAAACATAACCACCAGAAAATAGCCTCCTCTCATTTGCTTGAAAGAAGTTGATCACCTTTTTTCTTCTTCAGTGATTCCCAAACAATGAGTTACTGTCTTGTAAGGGGAATTTTTAAAATTTAGGGAGCTGGTTTTGGTTGATTGGTTAGCACCACTGGCATTCAAAAGAATGGGGCCATGGAAGCTAGAGGTATTTCAATGTGTAGGACAGTGTAACAAAAATAAATGATTAACGCATGGTCTATGCTAATTTCTATGTCATCCAAAATTTCTATAGTTAAAAACGTGTTATAATTATCTGAAACAATCATATATTTCCATTTTACAGACACAGTATTGTTTCATACTTTCAAAGTACTCCAAATTTGCCAGAAATACTCTTATATAAATTGAGCAAATAATTTAATTTTTTTTTATTTAGGTGTCATAAAGAATAGTTCACCATTATGAAAAATTAGATCTCCAATAGTTTATTAGGGTCCTCCAAAGAACAGACTAATTATGTGTGTGTGTGTGTGTGTGTGTGTGTGTGTATAGAGAGAGAGAGAGCGAGAGAGAGAGATCTATTACATGGAATTGACTCTAATGACCATGGAAGCTGGCAAGAGTAGTCCAGCAGACTGGAGATCCAGAAGAGCCAATTTTCACGTTTGAATCTGAAGGTTGTCTGCTGTAGACCCAGGAAGAACCAATGTTACACGTGAAGCCTGAAGCCAATCTGCTGAAGAGTTCCCTTCTGCTCAGAGGTGGCTGGCTTTCTGTTCTATTCAGAGCTTCAGCTGATCGGATGAGGCCCACCCACAATAAGGAGGGCAATTTGCTTTACTAAAAAATGTCCATCAATTTAGATATTAATGTCATCCAAAAACATCCTCACAGAAAGACAGAGATAATGTTTGATGAAATATCTGAACACTCTGTGACCGATTCATGTGACACATAAAATTAGCCATCACAAATGGCAGCACTACTCTTGTTACTATAAAAAGTTCTTATTTATCAGAAAATGCCAAATAGAAAGGGAAAGTATTGGCAGGTTGATTTGTGTATTTTAAAAATACAAACATTTTCCCATATGTGTGTGCAAGCAACTTGCTGTTTTATTATAGTTGTGTTCAAGAGTTTACACACTGAATTACATATTATTTTATTATACATTAATTTTTCTTTTTCACTATGTTACTGTATTGGCTTTTAAAAAAATACGCATACATGTATATATATAGTATAGATTATTTGTTAATTAACTGTTGGCACAGTACAAAATATCTATTATACAAAAAGGGCATTGAGTCTGTGAGAATGAGGAACCATTGAGATATTGTTATAATGGACTGAAAAAACTTTAATATTCATCCAGATAGTCTTTTTCAATTTGCTAGGTCAAGAACCCCAAAGTGATAACTTCTTATGAAACCTCATAAACATTTTTCTTTAAAACAAACCCTCAGACCAAGTCAAACATTTGTTAACATTCATATTTTCAATCATTTTGAACTAACTAGTCAGCTATTCTGTTATTAGGTATTTTTTCCTATGGCCAAGTTATTCTTGCAAAATGTAATTCTGTCATAGATCTACAAACATGGCAATCTTTGGTTATGTTTTTCAGCTTTTGGGGAAAATATCTACTTCCTATTTATAATATTGTTCGTAAGAATATTATAAGGTATTACTTGAGATAATAGGCATGTGGCAGAGATTGTCTAGGTCCTCACCGAACACACAGTCTCTTCTTGGACAAACTTTTACAATATGATTATTTGATTCTTTACATGTAGGTAGAGTCATGTGGTTAGTTCTTGTCATGGAAAATGCAAAAATGAGGTACAGAAGTTTTGGGCTCAGGTATTTAGGAGAGGATAGGCTTTCTCCATTTTCTTCTCTTCCCACAAATGTAAACCTTAGAGGTAACATGTTAAAAAATGGTTACATATCATAAGGTGGAAGGCAAATGGGTCTCTGAATGAATATATGAGGTAGAAGCTTATTCCTTGCTGTCTCCCCTGTCAACCCCATTACACTATAATATGAGTGAACCATAAAATGTGTGATGTTAAGCCAGCGATATTTTAAAATAGTTGTTATGGCAGTTAGCATACCCTGACTAATTACATATTTTGTAAGCATTTCATACTGCCTGGCATCAAGTGACCATGTAATAAGTTGTGGCTGTTATCAACACTTTATATAGCAGATGATAACATACATTTTCTGTTTCAAATATGCCTGCAGATAAAAGCATATTTCTTAATAGAAATGCTACCTTGTTTGATATTTATAAAAATAGTTTCAAGTACATGTAATTTTATGCAATAGAATGTTGATATCCTAATTGCCCATTTTAATATTGACAATTTTCCTGATATAAGTGTTCCTGGCATTTTCTAGTTTTTTATTTACTGTGAGTTTAAAAGAAAGTTGTGTGTCTCTTTTAATGATGTTTAGCTTAATCTATTTCGGTATCTATTACGCTATATTCCACAGTTTAGACTGGCATAATTTGTTTGTATGGAGCCTTAGTGGGAGAATAGATTATTCACTTCTTATATATTATGGATGTATTCCTAGTGAGTTATAAGTTTCAAAAAGTGGCTCATTTATTGACATTTTTAAGATAGCGGAGCAGACATTGTGATATAGTAATGACATCTTGCATAGAATTTTTGCACGAAATTGGTTCTATAGCTATATGTCTTCTTAAATTAATATTATATTATAATTTTTAAAATAGTATAATTTCAATCCATAAAAAAAAAACTAAAGATATTTTTATGGAGCTTGCATAATTTTTTTTTTTTTTTTTTTGAGTTGGAGTCTTGTTCTGTCGCCCAGGCTGGAGTGCAGTAGTGTGATCTCGGCTCACTGCAACCTCTGCCTCCCGGGTTCAAGCGATTCTCCCGAGTTGCTGGGACCACGGGCTCGTGACGCCACGCCCGGCTAATTTTTTTGTATTTTTGGTAGAGACGGGGTTTCACCATGTGAGCCAGGATGCTCTCCATCTCCTGACCTCATGATCCGCCCGCCTCGGCCTCCCAAAGTGTTGGGATTACAAGCGTGAGCCACTGCGCCCGGACTGGAGCTTTTACAATTTTAACTCCTTAAGGTAAAGATCTTATCAAAAATATAAAATATATGTATTTTTTATTAGAACAGGTAAACTTTTTAAGAATATTTCGTATTTTTCTCTATTAGCTATATAAAAAATAAAAGCTTTTGCAGTTGCTCTCGTACAGTTGTCCCAAGAATGTGAAATGTCTCTAAAATTTGTGCTTTGTGATAACAACAGAACAAGCCGTATGTTTATGGATTTTCTAAATTTGAAAAAATCCATCTTGTTTAAAATTTGTTAATGGTTACATCACTCTGTTTGTGCTGAGAATTTGTATTTGAATGTCTGAAGTTCAAAAGAAGAATGCCTATGAAATCAATGTTAATATAAGAATCCAGAAGCAATAGTATCTTAACTTAGAATAGCATAGATCTATAATAGATACTTAATCAATAATAAATTACAAGGTACTTGTTCCAGAAGATTCTAGGATTATTTTTATATTATACATAATAAAAAATGTGTTTGAATGGAAAATACATAATTTACATGTTAAATATGTTAACTTTAAACATAACGTCTTAAAATGTGGAAATAGTTACTTGAAATTAAGACATTCAAACTATTTTTGGATAACTTCATTTTCAATACTGAAAATTAAGGCTATGTTCCTTTGTAGCATGATATCTTTGTTTCATCATTGTCAAATAACATTTATAAGGTATAAAATGCTATTTTCAATGTAAAGATAATTGGTAAACAGATTTTATTTATGTTTATTTATAATCAAATAATGTTTATATTTACTTTTTATAGTTTATTCATGTATTTATTTGTATTTCACTCAATCCTTGTAGAATCTATCGGCTGCATAGCTCTATGACTTAGATTAGATACTTAGTGTTTGAAAACATCAGCTTGCTTAATGAGGGAATGTTCACCCTTTCTTCAATAGTAAAAGAAGTATAAATTAAATCTCTTGAAGTTATGCACACCTCACAGACATGCTGTTTAAATTATTGTAGATGTTCTTAGGCCCCTGGATATCAAAAAAGAGAGCTGAGTGAAAAGATTGTGTCAGGAAATAATTTGGCTATTTGAAGAATAGGATTATTACTGCAGTCAGTAGTACTAGTATACTTTGAGTACTTAAAAAAAAGCTTTGTCTTGATTAATACTTTAAATCTATGTATAATACACGGAGGTCATGAGGTAAGAATGTCTTATATGAGAATTTGTAAAGCACGTTATTCAGGTATAGGAATATTTCTATGCACTCAAAAATAAAATGGCTAGATAGAAAATATAAGTTTTATAAGCAAGAAAAGCACAATTGAATCTGAGTTTCAGATTGTTTTTTAGTATTAAGTATACCCAAATATTGCATGAGGCACACTTATACTAAATAAAATAATGTTCTTTTTTTATCTGAAATGCAAATTTTTAGGACTCCTATAACTTAATTTGCTAAACTGGAAAATGGCCGTATATAATACTTTATAATAATTACTGTTGATATTTTTTACTTTGAAAAACACTCAATTAACTTATTAAGTAAATGGAAAGATAAATAATAGATAAAATGATAAATTGAACTAATTAATATTTTTAAACAAGAAAATGTGTATATAGATAAAAAAAATATTACGCTATATAGGAGAGAAAAAAGTTATTTTCCTCTATCCCTCCTGGGTTCTTCTGCTGGGGTCATGCAAATTACAGTGCAGAAAGACAGAGTAACAAGAGAGGAGCAAACAAGTTTATTAACATTGCATTACTCATTCATATGGAAGCACTCAGGACTAACTCAAAGGGCTGATGACAACTTGGGCATATACAGCATCTTAATGAAAGAAAAATAAATTCTTAGAGAGAAGGACTTTGGAGTTTCTAAGGTTACAAATTGCAGGAAGTTAAATATATGGGAGAAACTTATGGAAGATAAGGCTAGCTAGTGAAGTTTACTATGTAAATTCTTCTGGTCCTCTCTTTGGGCTATTAAGAGTCTAGGGTTTTCTCTGTGATTAAAGCTGTTTTTTCTTGTAGAGAAGGGATGAAGGACACCTTTACAAATTTGTGTTGTTCATTTAGTCAAATAGAAGGAGTTTTTCTTGTATCTGCTTCTTCTCATTTACTTTCAGCTCGGTATAATCCTTATGCCATATAAGTGACATATTCTGCAACCCTCAGCAATGTCTGATGAATTTATGAAATTATAATCATACAAACTACAAATGTTCTGTCTTTGAAAATAACTTAATGGGATTAGCTATTAATAAATAATTACTGAAAGTGTTTACTTTGACTACTATTCTTGTTATCTAGCTAATCAGAGGAGCACTATAAAGACTTTAATACAAAGTAAAATATTAAATAAAACAATAATGATGTGAATAATATAATAATCTGTAACTTATGTAAATGCTGTTATATTATTTTAACAGTAGTCACTTTAATCATAGCTAATTGCAGACAATTTTACTTAATAAAATGTATTTTTTTAGAGAAATGTATATTTTCATAAATTACTAATGTATTTTTAATAATTTATAAAAATTTAATATAAAAGCAAAAATATTATTTTTTAAGATGAGTGTGATTTACATTAGGCCTATATATATATCATTGTGTAACTTGAGGAAGAGTTAAAATTAGCACTTACATACATTTTGAGAAGTCACTATAACTAATATGGAAATTCTTTATTAATCTCCTAAAAATAATGTTTACTTTAACAAAAGAGAAGTTAAGAGTGCTAATAATAAGTTAATATGAAGATTTTTAAAATGATGTAATGATGCAATTAAAAGAGTTGCAAACTAAAGGAAATGACTAAAGCAAGTCTCAATGAATTAGAGGTTTATTTTGCAAAGCTTGAGGACGTGCCCATGGGAGAAAAAAACACAAATTACAGTAGTGTCTGTGATCCATTCCTTTTCCAAAGAGGTTTTTGAGAAATTCAGTATTAAAAGGGGAAAAAGGAGGCAGGAAGAGAAGTAGAAAATAAAAAAAGAGATGGTGCGTAATGATATAAGCAGTGACATTCTTGTGAGCCTTTGATTTGCACTCCCTGAATCCACATGTTACGTGAGAAAGGAGGTGGCAGTCAATTATGCTTTCATCTCATGAGCTCACCAAATCTGCATTTTACATAAGATGAACATAGAGTAGAGGAAAAAGTCAAGCATGGCTTTGTCATCTTAGGGTGGGTGAAAAAATGATTTCTAATCTGTCTTTCTACCATTGCTGTGAAGATAAGGTGTTAATTTACATTGCCAATGTGAGGGAGGCCACCTGAGGGGATGTGTGCCTTCTATCTTGCAGCTATCTGTTTAGAAACAAAATGAAAGGCAGTTTTTAGCTTTTTTGAGTTACTCAGTTTCAAAGCTTAACTGTTCCCATTGGCATAGTGAGTTTGGTGTCCCAAGATTTTATTTTCCTTTCACGGAGTTAACATTAACACATTTTGTCTATATATCTGAAAAAAAAAAATGAGGTAACATTTACAGATTTTGATTGTGCCTAGTGATTATAAGGAGCCTCCTGTGAATATTTACCTGGTATTTTCTGATTATTTTTCCTTTTAATACTAAGTATTTCCTTTTATTTATTTTTTTACTTTTGCAATATAATTCATCAGTAGATTAGAATTTCAAATATTTTGGCAGGGAAGTGTAGAAGTTCTCATTTTACTTCTACTGAGTCTAAATTCAGGTGTAAGAACAAAGAAGTACATCAAAAATTTTATCTTCTATAGAGAATTAACATTTTTAAAGTAAAAAATAAAAATTTTTTGTGTCTCAACATGAAAACACATAAAAATCACTGGAATATAATGTCGTAGGCTGAAATTAGAAGGATCAAAAGGGTAATTTTACAAAGAAAAATAAGTGGCTCGATTTAATTATTTGCTTTTTTTTTCCCCAAAAAATGGTATCTTGAGACTTCTAACTTCCCAAACATTATTCTGCATAAAGCTTCATTTAAAGATTACAGATAATGGCTTTCATACCCAAGTTCACTATGGTTTTATAATTTACTATTTAACTTATCTTAAAAATAGTTAATTCCAATAGCAGGATTTTCTCAGAAACATTATTTTATTTATGCCTAGTACATTTTAGCAGTTTTAACATTAGGGACTTTAGTTAAATTTCAAATTTATTATGCACTTAGCTAATTAAGCCCTTTCAGACTATATATGTAAATTTATACCTTCAGGTTATCACCTAAAGTATTACAATTGCCTACTTTAACATATTCCTAAATATTTAAATACTCATTTAAAAAATTGTACATATATGCTCTGTAATCTTTAGAAATATTTCAATATTGTATAAATATTTAGTAAGAAACAACTGAAAGTTTAAATCAAGTGATTCATTTTGAATTGAAATGTAACTAAGTATTTTGAATTGGAATTACTAATTTTATTTTATTTTTCTCCAATAGGCTAAATTCTCTTCCTCTTTTTTTTTAACTTATATTTTAGTTTCAGGAGTATATATGCAGGTTTGTAATATAGGTAATTGTGCATCACTGGGGTTTGGAATATAGATTATTCCAATGGTATCTCATTGTGGTTTTGATTTGCATTTCTTCAATGGTTAGTGGTATTGAGAACTTTTTTATTTGCTTATTGGCCACACATATATGGTCTCCTTTTGAAAAGTGACTGTTGATGTCCTTTACCCACTTTTGAATTGGTTTGCTTGATTTTGCTTGTTAATTTAAGTTCCTTACAGGTTCTTGGTATGAAACCTTTACAGGATACACACTTTGTAAATATTTTCTCACAATCTGTGGGTCGTCTATTTATTCTGTTGATAGTTTCTTTTGCTGTGCAGAAGCTTTTTAGTTTAATTTAATTAGGTCCCATTTATCAATATTTGTTTTTGTTGCAATTGCTTTTGGCATCTTCATCATCAAAGTTTTGCCAGCACCTATGTCCAGAATGGTATTTCCTAGGTTATCTTCCAGGGTTTTTATAGTTTCAGGTTTTACATTTAAATCTTTAGTTCATCTTGTGTTGATTTTTGTGCATCTCATAAGGAAGCAATCTGGTTTCAATTTTCTGCAATATTGCTATCCAGTTATCTCAGAACCAGTTATTAAATGGGGAGTCCTTTCCCCCTTGCTTTTTTTTTGTTAGCTTTTTGAACATCAGATAGTTGTAGGTGTGCAACATTATTTCTGGGCTCTCTATTCTGTCCTGTTGTTCTGTGTGTCTGTTTTTGTATCAGTACCATGGTGTTTTGGTTACAGTAACTTTCATGCGCGTCCGTGTGAAGAGACCACCAAACAGGCTTTGTGTGAGCAACATGGCTGTTTATTTCACCTGGGTGCAGGCGGGCTGAGTCCGAAAAGAGAGTCAGTGAAGGGAGATGGGGTGGGGCCGTTTTATAGGATTTGGGTAGGTAAAGGAAAATTACAGTCAAAGGGGGGTTGTTCTCTGGCGGGCAGAGTGGGGGTCACAAGGTGCTCAGTAGGGGAGCTTTTGAGCCAGGATGAGCCAGGAGAAGGAATTTCACAAGACAATGTCATCAGTTAAGGCAGGAACAGGCCATTTTCACTTCTTTTGTGGTGGAATGTCATCAGTTAAGGCAGGAACCGGCCATCTGGATGTGTACATGCAGGTCACAGGGGATATGATGGCTTAGCTTGGGCTCCGAGGCCTGACATTCCTGTCTTCTTATATTAATAAGAAAAATAAAATGAAATAGTGGTAAAGTGTTGGGGCGGTGAAAATTTTTGGGGGTGGTATGGAGAGACAATGGGCGATGTTTCTCAGGGTGCTTTGAGTGGGATTAGGGGCAGCATGGGAACCTAGAGTGGGAGAGATTAAGCTGAAGGAAGATTTTGTGGTAAGGGGTGATATTGTGGGACTGTTAGAAGAAATATTTGTCATTTAGAATTATTGGTAATGGCCTGGATACAGTTTTGTATGAATTGAAAAACTAAACGGAATAAGAGAAGGAGAAAAACAGCTATTAAAGGTCTAAGAATTGGGAGGACGTAGGACATCTAATTAGAGAGTGCCTAAGGAAATTCAGCATAGTCCTGCCAGCAAAGATTATTTATTTACTTCAAGAGTTAAGAGTGGCAGTTTGGGGATAGCACCAGGAGACATCAGCTGTGATGGCTTGGAGAAACAGTGTAAACTGGCAGTGTAAACAAGAGCAGAGCATGTATGAGTAGTTCAGAACGGTGAATAGGAGTATGACTAGACAGAAGATAGTAGAGATGACAAGTTTTTTTGGGGCACAGTCTAAGTTAGTCTGGTGTCTGGAA